>NC_000004.12:86194108-86345623 GCF_000001405.40 Homo sapiens
AGGTACCTCACGTGGAAATGCAGAAATCACTCGTCTTCTGCGTTGATCTTGCTGGGAGCTGGAGACTGGGGCTGTTTCTATTCAGCCGTCTTGCCAGCTCCTAATTCTAAACTACTGTTAATATGATATAAATACTGACTTTGGTGTGGAATGTATGCAAATGGTATGTCAAAGTGGAAATACAAGGGAATATACTGTACCTTGTTTTACCTGTAAGGAACACACACCTGACAAAAGGCAATTTTCACATCCAATGTTGGTTCACTGCAGTAGTATAAGAAATGGAGGCTCATAAATACCTAGAGGAAAAAGAAATGGAGCATAAATTTTCAAATCACTAGTTTTTCATTATATAACAATATAGATTTTGGCATAATTTGAGTTATATGCAAAGTACCATGCACAACATATCTCCAACATAATCCTTATCTTGACCTGTACTATACCTTTCACAAATTGTATTTAATAATGAAATAAGGTTAAAATGTCCTATCTTTTATAATGATCAATTCCATCACACTCATAAAGATTAGATATAAGAAAGTGGACATACCTAATAATTTAAAGGGAAATACATCCTGTTATAAAGCATTTTCAGTTCTTAACATTTAATTTACAAAAAAAAACTCTCAAACATATGCTCAACAGGATATATATATTTATTGTAGAATAAAAGCACTATTAAATAAAATATAATTTATAATAGAATTCTATATAGGACTTGGAGTAATTATATTAGAGCTTACTGTATCAGTAATAGATAAATTTTTCAAACATGATATTGACCGAGAAGAAAAGCAGTTTGTAACAGATATAAGGAATATACTATATTTGTGTGAAATTTTAAAATTACAAAATATACAAAAATGATTATATATTGCTTTTAAGTAAATATAATTGTGGAGTAAAAAGTATTAGGCACCATATTAACATAAGTTTAATCTTGGTGGGAAGTACAAAAATTCAATTATATCATTTTCTGTATGTTCAAAATATTCTATAAGTTTGCACAGTTTTAAGAGGAAAAGTTATCTAATGGTAGTAATGCCAAATTAGGTACTAAGTTATTTGAGAATGACACAGCAACATCAGAGAAACCCAAATAAATTGTTTTGAGTTCAATTAAACACACTTTGTTGAATGCTGATTGTGTGCAAAACGCACAATACTGTCAGATTAAACCATTTAAAAACACCATCAATATGCGACTTCCATTTCTGGCAAGGATTGATAGATGTCCTGAAAATCACTATCAGTGCAAAATCCCTAAAAATGTTAACATAAAATACACAAAACATCTTTCAGAATGCATAGCTGAGTGGTCAAAAATAAAGGCATGAAAAGTTCTGAGAAGTTGAAAACAATGTGAAAGAATACATGCAGAGAAGTAAATGAGCTGAGGCCGCTGTTTGTCACAGGCCGTCTGCTGATGTCTGATGACTAGAACTTTACTTCTTTTTTTATTTGTATTTTTTTATTATACTTTAAGTACTGGGATACATGTGCAGAACATGCAGGTTTGTTACATAGGTATACATGTGCCATGGTGGTTTGCTGCACCCATCAACCCATCATCTACATTAGGTATTTCTCTGAATGCTATCCCTCCCCTAGGCCCCCACCCTGACAGGCCCCTGTGTGTGATGTTCCCCTCCCTGTGTCCATGTGTTCTCATTGTTCAGCTCCCACTTATGAGTGAGAACATGCAGTGTTTGGTTTTCGGTTCCTGTGTTAGTTTGCTGAGAATGATGGTTTCCAGCTTCATCCATGCCCCTGCAAAGGACATGAACTCATCCTCTTTACGGATGCATAGTATTGCATGGTGTATATGTGTCATATTTTCTTCATCTAGTCTATCACTGATGAGCATTTGGGTTGGTTGCAAGTCTTTGCTATTGTGAACAGTGCTGCAATAAACATAAGTGTGCATATGTCTTTATAGAAGAATGATTTATAATCCTTTGGATATATACCCAGTAATGGGATTGCTGGGTCAAATGGTATTTCTGGTTCTAGATCCTTGAGGAATTGCCACACTGTCTTCCACAATGGTTGCACTAATTTACACTCCCACCAACATTGTAAAAGCATTCCTATTTCTCCACATCCTCTCCAGCATCTTTGTTTCCTGACTTTTTAATGATGGTCATTCTAACTGGCATGAGATGTTATCTTATTGCAGTTTTGATTTGCATTTCTCTAATGACTAGTGATGAGCTTTTTTTCATGTTTGTTGGCTGCATAAATGACTTCTTTTGAGAAGTGTCTGTTCATATCCTTCACCCACTTTTTGATGGGGTTGTAAGCTTTTTTCTTGTAAATTTGTTTAAGTTCTTTATAGATTCTGGATATTAGCCCTTTGTCAGATGGATACATTGCAAAAACTTTCTCCCATTCTGTAGGTTGCCTGTTCACTCTGATGGTAGTTACTTTTGCTGTGCAGAAGCTCTTTAATTAGATCCCATTTGTCAGTTTTGGCTTTTGTTGCTATTGCTTTTTGGTGTTTTAGTCATGAAGTCTTTGCCCATGCCTATGTCCTGAATGGTATTGCCTAGGTTTTCTTCTAGAGTTTTTATGGTTTCAGGTCTCATGTTTAAGTCGGTAATCCATCTCGAGCTAATTTTTGTAGAAGGTGTAAGGAAGGGGTCCAGTTTCAGTTTTCTGCATATGGCTAGCCAGTTTTCCTAACACCATTTATTAAATAGGGAATCCTTTCCTCATGGCTTGTTTTTGGCAGGTTTGTCGAAAATCAGATGGTTGTAGATGTGTGGCATTATTTCTGAGGCCTCTGATCTGTTCCATTGGTCTATATATTTGTTTTGGTACCAGCACCATGCTGTTTTGGTTACTGTAGCCTTGTAGTATAGTTTGAAATCATGTAGCATGATGCCTCCAGCATTGTTCTTTTTGCTTAGGATTGTCTTGGCTATATGGGCTCTTTTTTGGTTCCATATGAAATTTAAAGTAGTTTTTTCTAATTCTGTGAAGAAAGTCAATGGTAGCTTGATGAGGATAGCATTGATCTATAAATTACTTTGGGCAGTATGGCCATTTTCACAATATTGATTCTTCCTATCCATGAGCATGGAATGTTTTTCCATTTGTTTGTGTCCTCTCTTATTTCCTTGAGCAGTGGCTCATAGTTCTCCTTGCTCTTCAAGGTCCTTCATATCCCTTGTAAGTTGTCTTCCTAGGTATTTTGTTCTCTTTGTAGCAGTTGTGAATGGGAGTTCACTCATGATTTGGCTCTCTGTCTACTATTGGTGTATAGGAATGCTTGTGATTTTTGCACATTAATTTTGCATCCTGAGACTTTGCTCAAATTGCTTATCAGCTTAAGGAGATTTGGGGCTGAGACAATGGGGTTTTCTAAATGTAGAATCATGTCATCTGCAAACACAGACAATTTGCCAGCCATCTTGCCAGCCACTCAGAACTTCAGTTCTTAAAATGTAGCATGCAGAGTACAGGAAACAAGATTTAGACCTATCTACAGTGGGAAGTCATACTGGAGACACTGCATAAAGCTTACTATAGGAAGTTTTCAATAAACTGTAGGAGGAAGCAAAATAATCTGAGAGGGAAGGTCTGAATTGCAAGGAAAAATGTTTTGCATTGGAACTTCTGCAGGTTTTTTAAATTTAAGGAAGACTGAAAGGATAAGAATATATAAGACATTCCTGAAGAAGAACAAGTGGCTGTTTGCCTAGCGCCGGCAAGGGAAGTATTCTGCCAGAGATCAAGAACTATTATAAAGGTGTGATAAGTAAAAATATGTTGCATTGATGTCATGATAGACTATGAATTAATAGAATACAGAGCCCAGAACAGACACAGACATACATGGGAACCTGATTATGTCAAGGTAAGCACTGCAGACATCTGAGGAAAGAAGAAACTATGCATTAAATCATGCTGATCCACCCCAATTAGTCATTGTATGGGGATGGGGAGAAACTAGATTCCTGTTGGAAGGCAATTCTCTATGGCCCTCTCATATTTCCGCATGTTTTGCAAACAGAAACACTAGTTTGTTCCAGACCATCTTGCTAAGGATGATTATATAGCAGACAGCCTTGAAAGATAGAGGTAGTGTCTCCTTCTGGAGAAAAGGGTAGATCTAATGACTATGGGGCGGGCTCTCTGGGGCAAAGGTCAGGCATGATTCCTGCCCATTACAAAAGATTTGGGTTCCCTTAGCTTGAGGTTTCTCTTCAGTAATGCAACTGTGTGTGCTGAGGTCACCTGAACATTACATCATCCTATGGGAACTGGGGCCCGAGGAACTGACATGAGTTCTGACATTCTAACTGCTGCTATTGCTCTGAGTAATAAAGACCCTCGTATCTGACCCAGGAGTCTTGTATCTTCTGCCAATATTCATAAAACTGTCAAAGGCTAATTTATGAACTTGCAAGTAAGGTAACATCTCAGACTCTCCAGCGTTCTCAACAATTCCTACCTCACGTTGTACACAAAAAATAATTCCAGACAGATCAGAAATTTCAGGAAAGGCCAAACTTTAAATAATATAGAAGAAAATATGGTTGACTGTTTCTGTGAAATAAGTCATAAATAATATATATGCTAAGCTTTGAAAAATATATTAATAAAATAAACTATATTAAAATTAATAATCTGTGTATTAAAATATGTGATAATTAGTATAAAAAGTAGTCCACATGTTTGAAATAAAAATCAAAATACATATAAACAGTGAAAAATTTATTGAGAATCTATAAAAAGCTCCTTAAAAATCAAGAAGAAAAGACAAAGGACCAATATATAAATAAAACCCAAAAAATTGAAGAATTTCATGAAAAAAGAAATATACGAGCACTCACAAATATATGCGTACCTTAAAATCATATTGGGATACTATTTTATATCCTTCAAATTGTCAAAAGCTGAAGAGTATAATACATATTCAGTATTTGGAAGGAGGTTGATTTGAATATTTGTACATTACTAATAGGTGTGGCAATTGGAACAACTAAATTTAGAGGGAAAATGCCATTATTTAGTAAACTTGTGCATAGCCTACAACACAATAATTCCACATCTACACATATTCCTAGAGAAACTCTTATGTTTTTATACCAGTATACATGTACAAGAAAATTCATTAGAATATTTTTATAATAGTGCAATAAATAATAAAAATGAACTCTGGAAAAAAACAAATATTCATAGAAAGAACAATGAATAAATAAATTGTGGTATTTTCCTTTAGTGGAATACCATATAGCAATGAAATAGTTGAATAGTGAAACAAGTATCAAATATGACAACATCTCTTTTTTTTGTTATGTTATACTTAATCCATTTATGAAATTTTGAAAATATGCACAACTAAACAATATCTTATTTAAGAATATTGCTTTAGTATGATAAAACTGTTTTTTGAAAGCAAAGGAATAAAAAAAGCAAAATCCAAGAGATGAGATAATTATCCTGGGGAGATGAGGAGTGCCACTGGGAAGGGGCGTGCAGGGAGCTTCAAAGACATTAGCTATGTCTACTTCTTGAAGCTGGGCAGTGGGGTTCACACATGTTTGTTACATTATTTAAACCCTATGAAACATATCAAACATTATTTAAGCATATGAAACATATATTATTGGATATGTCTGAAATATTTTACAGAAAAAAGGTCAAGTGACACAAGGAATTAGTGGTCCTTCAGTGTTCTGCTGGGCCTTGTGTATGCATGGATGTGTATGCACGTTTGGTATGATGTACCAAACACTCATAATAGCCACTAATAGGAAATACTCTTGAGGAGAAATGCTGAGGTTTGTAAAGCAGGAAGATAAAAGGAACCATTAAACTACTGAATTAATAAATTATAGAACTTTTCCCATTTTAGATTTTTTGTTATATTTGAAAATAAATTCTCTATAGGAAAAAAATACTAACTATAATCAGTAAGTAAAAAACAAAACAAAAGGAGCAATTTACTCTGTAAATTTTAACCTGTGATGTTATTTTATTGCGTGTCCAGGGATTTTATGTATAATTTTTGCCAGACAGTAACCACTACTTTGTTAATGTTTTAATTTTTTAACAAAATAGTTTTGATTCAAGTCTAATTTACACAGCAAAATGAACCATTCTTAAGCGTACAGGTGGATGAATTTTGAAAAATGCATATATCCCTGAAACACACATTTCAATGAACAGAGAATAGTCTGAAAACCCCATGTGCCTTTTTTGGAAAATACTCCTCACCCTCCAAACAGTGTTCTAACTTCTTTCATTATAAATTAGTTATTCTCCCAGAACTAATGTAAATGAAATTACACAGTATGTATTCTGTTTTATTGGGCTCTTTTTGCTCAGCAAAATGTCTTTAGTATTCATCCACGTTACTGTATTTATCAGTAATTGTCCCTTTCCATTGCTGACAAAAATGTACCATAGCTTGTTAATTGATTCTGCATTTGGATAGTTGAGATGTGTCTATTTTTTAGATATTATAATAATGCTGCTATGATCATTTATGAACGTGTCTTTTTGTATAAGTATGTTTTCATTTCTCTTAGGGAAAATGCGTAGAGAAGAAATTATTGGATTGAGGAATAATATGTGTAATTTTTTAATATCTAATTTTTATGGATACATGACAGCTATACATATTTATGGGGTACATGTGAAATTTTAATACAAGCATACAATGTGTAATGACTAAATCAGGGTAATTGAGATATCCATCACCTCAAGCATTTATAATTTCTTTGTGTTAGGAACATTCTAATTCCACTCTTTTAGTTATTTTAAAATATACAATAAATTATTGTCAACTAGAATCATCCTACTGAACACTAAATCTTATTGCTTCAATCTGATTATATTTCAGTACCCATTAACTATTCCCTCTTTACTCCTTTCTCTCCACTACCCTTCCCAGCCTTTGGTAATCATCATTCTACTCTATCTCCATGAGATCAATTTCTTTAGTTCCCACATATGAGTGAGAACATGCAACATTTGTCTTTTCATGCTTGGCTTATTTCCCTTCACATAACGTCCTCCAGTTCTGTCCATGTTGTTGTAAATGACAGGATCTCATTCTCTTTTATGCTTTAACAATATTCCATTGTGTATATGTATGTACCACAGTTTATTTATCCATTCTTCTGCTGATAAACACTTAGGTTGAAGGAATATGTTTAACTTTTTAAAAGCTGCCAGAACCATTTTCAATCTCCTGCAGCAATGTAAGAAAATTCAGTTGCTTCACATCCCTGCCAACATTTGATGTAATCAGTTTTCTAAATTTTAATCATTTTAGGGAGTGTTTAAAAATATAATGCTGACTAAAAATTTTGAGAAATTTTTATATGTTATTGGCCATTTATTTATCTTCCTTGGTGAAGTGCTTTTCCAAGTCTTTTGCTCAATGGATAGTGGACTGTGGATGGAGAGAAGGCTTTATCTTTATATTACAAATTATAGAAATGCTTTATCTATTCCAGATAAAAGTCTTCTGTTAGAGACACGCATTACAAATATTTTCTCTCAGCCTTCAGCTCGCATATTCAGCTTATTAATGTTATTTTTAAATTAGTAGTATTTTTAATTTTATGAATTTATTTTTTTATTTATTTTCCTTTTATGATTAGCTTGTTTTTGGCTTTGTGCCTATCCCCAGGTTCACAGAGATATTCTCCTATATATTCTTTGTGAAGCTTTAAATCGTCTTTTTCTTCTTCTTTTTTTAGTGATTGTTCTAGAGTTAACACCCTACATTTTTAATTTATAATAATCCAGCTTCAAATAATATTCTGCTTCACATATAGTTTAAGAAACTTACAATAGTATACTTCCATTTTCCTCTCCAATCCTTTGAGCTATTGTGTTACATATTTTACTTATACACACATTATAGACCTCATAAAACATTGCTATTAGTTGTGCTTTAAAGAGGCAATTATATTTGAAAGAAATTACCAAAAAGTTACTTTGTATTTACTCACATAGTACAAAGGGGTATAGTTCTTATACTCTTCTTTAAGGTTTATTTGTAATCATTCATGGGTTTTGATATTATTTTAAATGGTATTTTTATTTTATTTCTATTTTCAAACTGTTCATTTTCAGCATTCAAAATACATTGTTTCATTGTTGCTCACTGTCTTGCAGCATACATTAAACAGGGAAGTCTTCCAGTCACTCTTTGATCTTTCCCTCAGTCTTCTCACAGCACTTTGTTCATTACTTTTGTTATGAATATCGTATAGTATTGTAACCATTCATTTGTATGTCTTTTCCATTCTATTTAAGACCTTCTCAAGGAAAATGACTATGTTTTATTAATCTTCACAACCCCAGGGCCTACCACTATTGTTGGTATATAGATAATGTTGAGAAAATGTTTACTGAATGAAAGAAGAACCCAATTTTAAAAGTACAAATCTACATTTTTAAATTATCTCCTCATATTGAAACCTGTGAATTTGCGATACATTTGATACTAACAAATTAGGAGCAAGGAGTTTGCAGTAGTAGAAATATGAAGGAAATAATCCAAGCACAATGACTTCAGAAATGCTACCCAGCAGTGACGTTTCAGTTCTCTACTGCTGAAGTGGGCATGTGGGAAATAATAACATCCAGCACCACCGCCCCAAAACAAACAATGTGTTTTAACTTTTAATGAATGAATAATCTTGCTATGAAAAGCAGGCATCCTGATCTTTCCTAGTTTGCATTACAAAGACTCCAGTGTAACACCATAGCTAAAAATTTACAAAGTCACTGCGTAACCTTCTTGTTCTAGGAAGACACTTTAAAAGATAAAAAATGTTTACTATGACAATCCCAGCAAATTACAAAAAATTCGTTTGCTAATTGTTTTTCCTGGTAGCATGGCAGAGAGCATTTGGCCCATTGTATAGAAACAACACAGATGATCAAGGTGGTATCTCAATATTATGCTAAAGTGAAATTAGTGACAATATCTTGGTGCAATATAGGACCTGTAAGTAGCTTGAAAGAGAAGGAGATGCTAATTTAGGGAGTTTAGTGCTTTCAATCACTAGTTGTTCTTTTGGGAAAAGCCCCATATGAGCATTTCTTGCTATGCTATACACTGTACTGAGTTTCTCTTTATTATATGTCTATAGGAATTACTGGATACTCCAAACAAAGCAATAGGCCAAGTTGCATGAATGAAATACACTTAAGAATTTATTAGGCTGAATTGGTGCACAGCAGCTGCTGTAAGATAATGTAACTATGACGTGTTTTCACAGCTTAGATCAATGTTTAAATTCTTGTGTATCTGAGATGTGTCAACTAAACCACAGGAGGTTTAAGAAGCTTCACAAATGCAAAAATCAAATTGTTCTGGGCAGCTCCAGGATTCCATGGTTTGTCACTGAACTGCAATATATACAAGGAAAAACCATGAACTACTAATTATTTAAAAAAAAAGTTCCAACAGTTTCTAAGTTCAATCGGTATACGATGTCATTACTTATAAGTAATTTTTGTATTTATTACATAGCAGATTTACTATGAATGACTTTTATAACAGCCTGCAAGCATATGTATGATACAAGAACACAAAGTCATTGTTAATTAAAAATGACTTTGTGTTCTTGTATCATACATATGCTTGCAAGCTGTCATAGACACACTCTGTCTCTTCCATGTTCAAAAGGATTCTCCCTATAATATGCAAAAGACCAGATGAAAAATATGCCTTGAAACAAGTAATTATCTTTTCAGGGGCTGCAGTAGAAAATAGAATTAAATTTAATTTTCTAATAAGAACTGTGCATATGCTCACTTTAACATACTGTCAAATTCTTAAGTAGATGTGCTATCACTTAGAGCACGAGGCAGCAAGTTATGGTCCATCAGTCAAATTCAGTTAATCACCTGTTTTAATAAATAAAATTGTATCGGAACATAGCCATCCATTAGTTTATAAATTGTCGATGGCTGCTTTCACATTACAGTGGCAAAACTGAGTAATCGTGAGAGGAACTGCATAAGCTATAAAGCCTAAGATACTTATTAGTTGGCCTTTATAGAAAAAGTTTGCCAACCTCTGATTTAGAGCATGCTAACTGACAAAGAACCAGAAGTATACCATTAGCCTCGATAGAAAGGCCAAACTAATTTAATGTCTCCAACCATAAGTATATAAATGCACAAAATAATTTCTAAAATAATATCTAATTTCTCATAAATAATATCTCCATAGTTTTACATCTAAAACTTAGATGTTTCTTAAAATATTGTTCATATAACAAGATAGAAGTAAAATTCTTTAATTTTGATGACACAAAATAGTATGATTTGCAACCAGTGGGAAGAAAATTAATTAACATTAGAGTTATCACCAATGAGAGAAAGGGACACCAATCAAGATAGCTAGTACAACAAATTATTCCCAATACTATAATGATCCAGTAATATGGGAAGCATAGACATAGACAGCATACAAATATGAGAAATAATGTGTGGAATCTGAATGGAAACAAAAGAGGAACCTCAGAACGGTGACAACTTCAGTTTTGTAAATCCAGCCATGTTTAAGGACTTCTGGGGCACTGCAGAACAGCTTTTTGTCATTATTTCTTTCCTTCTTCCAACTCCAATGAGATTACTCTTGTTAAGAAATTGTATCACAGGAATTTCCCAATTCCTTTTCTTTTTACTAAACAGTAGACACTATGCATGGCTTAAATTGTAGATGGGGAAATGGCAGTGGGTTACAGAAGTCATAATCTATGTGAGCTGATCTGATATTGTAGCACTCTCAGATATTTTTCTTAAAATTATAAAAAAATGTTCTTTCCATTATTTTGGAAAGTCAGAACTGCTGAGATGGAATATAACAAGAAGTCAACACAAACAATTCTACAATAACCGTAAAACCCAAAAGGCAGTGAAAAGCAGTAAAAGTGAGAAGTCAGTGACTATTATATTAAATGGAATTAAAGAAAAAAATTAAGCTATAAGCTATCATGACTAAGCCATAACACAGAGCCGTTGAAAGAGATTTTTAAGTGGTAAGGGATAGATACCCCTACCACATAAAAAAATATTTAAACCAAAGAGAGCTAGTATCTTATATTAACAAAATAGCCTTTAAGGCAAAAAGTATTATTAAGAATTACAATAGTCATTACTTAATGACAAAAGAGAAACTCCCCAAGAAAATATAACAGTCTTGGACTTATATGCACTTAGCATTACCTCAAAATGTGTAAAGCAAATATTAAAACAATTATAAGACTACAAAGAAAGCTGAAAAATTCACGATCACAGTGAGAGATTTTAACACATGTAAGTATCTCTTGCTTTTTATACAAACTGTTATAAAATAACAAAAAAGTGAGAAATCCTCCTATTAATTTGTTGAGGTTCATAAACTATCATACAAAGATAATATAAGACAAGAAAATTATAGTATAATCTTATGAACACACAGGTGAAAAATTTTAAAAATTATCAAGCAAAATTATATGTTAGGAAAAAATAATACAGAAAACCAAGTAGAGTTTATCCCAAGTATACAAGCATGTGGCAAATTGAGAATCTCTAGTAATATAATTCAATATATTTAACACATTAAAAAAGAAAAATTCTTGTCATATTCAGTAGATAGAGAAAATAATTTGATATCATTTCAAATCTATTCATGGTTAAAACACACACATATATTTCACCAACTAGAAAAAGAGACATTTTTCATAACTGGGTAAGAGTTTTCTATCAAAAGCAACAAATATCATATTTAATGATGAAAACAAGAAAAAGAGGCATTCCCTCTCAGATTTAATAAAATATAAAGATGTCTGCCATCATTGTTTCTATTCAATAGTACCCTGCAAATGAAATGAAATTTTTAAAATTGGCATACGAATTGAAAAAAACAAACTGTTCTCCACTGAAGACAACAGGATTTTTTTTTAATTTAATTTTATTATTATTATACTTTAAGTTTTAGGGTACATGTGCACAATGTGCAGGTTAGTTACATATGTATACATGTGCCATGCTGCTGTGCTGCACCCATTAACTCGTCATTTAGCATTAGATATATCTCCTAATGCTATCCCTCCCCCGTCCCCCCACCTCGCAACAGTCCCCAGAGTGTGATGTTCCCCTTCCTGTGTCCGTGTGTTCGCATTGTTCAATTCCCACCTATGAGTGAGAATATGCGGTGTTTGGTTTTTTGTTCTTGCGATAGTTTACTGAGAATGATGATTTCCAATTTCATCCATGTCCCTACAAAGGACATGAACTCATCATTTTTTATGGCTGCATAGTATTCCATGGTGTATATGTGCCACATTTTCTTAATCCAGTCTATCATTGTTGGACATTTGGGTTGGTTCCAAGTCTTTGCTTTTGTGAATAGTGCTGCAATAAACATACGTGTGCATGTGTCTTTATAGCAGCATGATTTATAGTCCTTTGGGTATATACCCAGTAATGGGATGGCTGGGTCAAATGGTATTTCTAGTTCTAGATCCCTGAAGAATCACCACACTGACTTCCACAAGGGTTGAACTAGTTTACAGTCCCACCAACAGTGTAAAATTGTTCCTATTTCTCTACATCCTCTCCAGCACCTGTCATTTCCTGACTTTTTAATGATCGCCATTCTAACTGGTGTGAGATGGTATCTCATTGTGGTTTTGATTTACATTTCTCTGATGGCCAGTGATGATGAGCATTTTTTCATGTGTTTGTTGGCTGCATAAATGTCTTCTTTTGAGAAGTGTCTGTTCATATCCTTCACCCACTTTTTGATGGGGTTGTATGCTTTTTTCTTGTAAATTTGTTGGAGTTCATTGTAGATTCTGGATATTAGCCCTTTGTCAGATGAGTAGGTTGCGAAAATTTTCTCCCATTTTGTAGGTTGCCTGTTCACTCTGATAGTAGTTTCTTTTGCTGTGCAGAAGCTCTTTAGTTTAATTAGATCCCATTTGTCAATTTTGTCTTTTGTTGCCATTGCTTTTGGTGTTTTAGACATGAAGTCCTTGCCCATGCCTATGTCCTGAATGGTAATGCCTAGGTTTTCTTCTAGGGTTTTTATGGTTTTAGGTCTAACGTTTAAGTCTTTAATCCATCTTGAATTAATTTTTGTATAAGGTGTAAGGAAGGGATCCAGTTTCAGCTTTCTACATATGGCTAGCCAGTTTTTCCAGCACCATTTATTCAATAGGGAATCCTTTCCCCATTGCTTGTTTTTCTCAGGTTTGTCAAAGATCAGATAGTTGTAGATAGGCGGTGTTATTTCTGAGGGCTCTGTTCTGTTCCGTTGATCAATATCTCTGTTTTGGTACCAGTACCATGCTGTTTTGGTTACTGTAGCCTTGTAGGATAGTTTGAAGTCAGGTAGCGTGATGCCTCCCGTTTTGTTCTTTTGGCTTAGGATTGACTTGGCGATACGGGCTCTTTTTTGGTTCCATATGAACTTTAAAGTAGTTTTTTCCAATTCTCTGAAGAAAGTCATTGGTAGCTTGATGGGGATGGCATTGAATCTGTAAATTACCTTGGGCAGTGTGGCCATTTTCACGATATTGATTCTTCCTACCCATGAGCATGGAATGTTCTTCCATTTGTTTGTATCCTCTTTTATTTCATTGAGCAGTGGTTTGTAGTTCTCCTTGAAGAAGTCCTTCATGTCCCTTGTAAGTTGGATTCCTAGGTCTTTTATTCTCTTTGAAGCAATTGTGAATGGGAGTTCACTCATGATTTGGCTCTCTATTTGTCTGTTATTCGTGTATAAGAATGCTTGTGATTTTTGTACATTGATTTTGTATCCTGAGACTTTGCTGAAGTTGCTTATCAGCTTAAGGAGATTTTGGGCTGAGACAATGGGGTTTTCTAGATATACAATTGAAAATCTAGAAGAAATGGATAAATTCCTCGACACATACACTCTCCCAAGACTAAACCAGGAAGAAGTTGAATCTCTGAATAGACCAATAACAGGATCTGAAATTGTGGCAATCATCAATAGCTTACCAACCAAAAAATTCCAGGACCAGATGTATTCACAGCCGAATTCTATCAGAGGTACAAGGAGGAATTGGTACCATTCCTTCTGAAACTATTCCAATCAATAGAAAAAGAGGGAATCCTCCCTAACTCATTTTATGAAGCCAGCATCATTCTGATACCAAAGCCGGGCAGAGACACAACCAAAAAAGAGAATTTTAGACCAATATCCTTGATGAACATTGATGCAAAAATACTCAATAAAATACTGGCAATCTGAATCCAGCAGCACATCAAAAAGCTTATCCACCATGATCAAGTGGGCTTCATCCCTGGGATGCAAGGCTGGTTCAATATACGCAAGTCAATAAATGTAATCCAGCATATAAACAGAGCCAAAGACAATAACCACATGATTATCTCAATAGATGCAGAAAAGGCCTTTGACAAAATTCAACAACACTTCATGCTAAAAACTCTCAATAAATTAGATATTGATGGGACGTATCTCAAAATAATAAGAGCTATCTATGACAAACCCACAGCCAATATCATACTGAATGGGCAAAAACCGGAAGCACTCCCTTTGAAAACTGGCACAAGACAGGGATGCCCTCTCTCAGCACTCCTATTCAACATAGTGTTGGAAGTTCTGGCCAGGGCAATTAGGCAGGAGAAGAAAATAAAGGGTATTCAATTAGGAAAAGAGGAAGTCAAATTGTCCCTGTTTGCAGGATTGTTTAGATAGACATTGCAATAGCAACCACCAATTATTTTAAGCAATAAAATAATTAAGAATTTCTGGTGACAAATCAATAGTATCTGATAATACCTAATGTTGTCAACTTTATAGGGAAATAAGAAGATTAATACAATAGTTAGTATATAAGACACTAATTGCTTGTTCCTATACAACAATATTAAAGAACAAACTGACAATAGTTGGTAAGGTTGAAGGTATGTGAACTAAACAAATCAATGGTTCCACTTGTATGTATCTACACTGAGAAACTTGACACAAAATGCAAGGAGAGATCGTGTTCATTATATCTCAGTTTTTAATAGCAAAAAGTCAACAAAATTAACAACCTACCATGAGAGAAATGTATTCATGAAAGAAAATACAAGACTTGAAGTGAATAAACTGAATCTAAAAGTAACAATATGGATACATTTCTAAAGCAATGTTTAAGAAGCACATGAAAATGACAGTACTGATGTATTCACGTATATAAAATTTAAAACACTGCTAATGAATAAAAGGTGAAGTAGGAAGCACCAGTAATCTGCCTCCCTACCTAGACAACAATTGCACTGACTGACAGAATTTGCATGAGGTAACTATTTTGGAACTCTGGAGTCTATTGAAGGCTCGCAATTTCTAGGCTAATCCTCAGTATGAAGAAAGCCCACACCAATCAGAAACAAAACAAAACAAAATTTAAAAACAGCAAACGATGGGATAGAAGGAGAATCTGATTTCCATAGTTATCATATTAGTAGATTCAAATTTTCAGTTTTTACATTGATGAAAGAAATTGAAGAGAACACAATAAAATGGAAAAATAGTCAATGTTTATGTATTGGAGGAATCAATACTGTTAAAATGTCTATACCCTACTCAAAGTAATTTACAGATATGATTCATTTCCTATCAAAGTACCAATGACATTCTTCATAGAAACAGGAAAAACAATCCTAAATGTATATGGAGCCACAAAATACCCAGAGTAGCCAAAACTGTCCTAAGCCAAAAGAGCAAATCTGGAGGAATCACATTACCTGACTTCAAATTATATTACAGAGCTATAGTAACCAAAGCTGTATGGTGCTGGCATAAAAATAGACACACAGACCAATGGAACAAAAGAGAGAACCCACAAACAAATCCATACATCTACAGTGAACTCATTTTCAACAAAGCTGCCAAGAACATACATTGGGGAAAGAACAGTCTCTTCAATAAATGGTGCTGAGAAAACTGGATATCTATATGCAGAAGAATAAAACTAGACCCTAATCTCTCACAATAAACAAAATTCAAATCAAAATAGATTACAGTCTTAAATGTAAGACCTCAAACTATAAAAGTTCTATAGGAAAATTTTGGGGAAACTCTCCAGGACATTCAACTGGGCAAATATTTCTTGAGTAATACCCCACAAGAATAGGCAACCAAAGCAAAAATAGACAAATAGGATAACAAGTTAAAAACTCCTCCACAGCAAAGGAAACAGTCCATGAAGTGAAGAGATAACCCAAAGAATGGGAGAAAATATTTGCAAACTATCTATGTGACAAAGTATTAATAACAGAATATATAAGGAGCTCAAACGACTCTATTAGAAAAAAATTGAAAAATCTGGTTAAATAATAATTTAATGTTCAATAATAATTATATACATTTAAAGGAAACTAAAAGTATTTATAATTGCTTTATTTGTAACACAAAGGATAAATGCTTGAGGTGATGGATACCCTATTTACCCTGATGTGATTTGTATGCATTGCATGCCTATATCAAATATCTCATGTACACCTATGTCTCATGTACTCATGAAAATTAAAAACTTTAAAAGGAATAACGTTGTTTTCAACAAAAGTCACAAGTCATACAAAAAAAAGGGAAGTATGGCTCAGTCAAAGAAAAAAATAGACAGAAAACGATCCCTGAGAAAGGCCAGATGGCAAAACTACTAGATAAAGACTTTAAAACAATTCTTTCAAAGATGCTCAAAGAACTGAAGGAAGACATGCAAAAAGTCAAGAAAATAACATATTAACAATAAAAATATTAATAAAGAAAAATCCTAAAAAGGAAAAAAAAGAAATTCTAGAGCTGAAAAGTACAAGAAGTGAAGTGAAAAAAAATTCATGAGACAAACTCCAAGGAAGATTTGAGCAGCAGAGTAAAGAATCAATGAACTTGAAGACAGAACAATAAAAATTATTAATTATGAAGAACAGAAAGAAGGATTGAGAAAAATTAAACGAAGCCTAAGCAACCTGTGGAACACCATTAAGTGAACCAACTTACACATTGTGGAGTTTCAAAAGAAGAAGAGAGAGAGAGGGGTAGAAAGATTATATAAAGAAATAATTGCCAAAACTTCCCAAGTTTGATGAAAGATATAAACATCTAAGAAGCTCAACAAATGCCAAGTTGGATGAATCAAAAAGACCCCATGCTAAGACACATTAAAATTAAAATGTTGAAAGCCAAAGACAAAGAGAGAATATTGAAAGCAGTGAGAAAGAAGTGATTCAGCACATACAAGAGATTCTTAATAAGATTATTAGCAGATTTCTAATCAGAAACTTTGGAGGGCAGAAGGGAGTGGGCTAATATATTCAAAGTGCTAAAAGAAAAAAAGTGTCAACCAAGAATCTAATGTTTAACAAAACTGTTTTTCAAAAGTAGGAAAGAAATTAAGACATTTCCAGATAAAAGCTGAAAGAATTCACTACCACTAGACCTGCTTTGCAAGAAATGCTAAATAAAGTCATTCGGGTTAAAATGAAAGGACACTCAAAACTATATGAGGAAGTAAAAACTCAGTAAAGGAAAATATATAGATAATTATAAAAGTTAGTATTATTGCAATAATCATTTGTAATTCTACTCTTTGCTTTCTACATAATTTAAGAGGCTAATGCACTGAGAAGAACTGCTTGTTTTTGGACACACACAATGTAAATGTAATTTATAACATCAATAACTAAATAAAGGGATTAAGGACAAAGCTGGAAAAAAGCAGAGTTTGTATGTTACTGAAGTTAAGTTGGTATAAATTCAAATTGGTGTGCTACAACTTCAACATATTAAATGTATTCCCCATGCTAGACACATACAAAAAACAGTTATAGAATCTATACAAAAGAAAATCAGAAGGGAATTAAAATGTTTTAGTACAAAAGAAAGAAAGAAAAAAAGACAGTAATGCGGGAAATGAGGGACAAAAAAGCTCTGAGTCATACAGAAAACAAATACCAAAATGTCAGAGGTTCCTCCTTGGTAATTGCTTTAAATGTAAGTAGATTAAATTCTTCTATCAAAAGACAGATGGGCAGAATGGATTTAAAAAAAAAACACCATCCAACTATATGCTATCTATGAGAGATTTGCTTTAGATCCAAAGACAGAAATAGACTGAAAGTCAGAGGATGGAAAAATATATTTGTGCATCTAGCACTTTGGGAGGCTGAGGTGGGAGGATCTCTTCAGGTCAGGAGTTCAAGACCAGCCTGGGCAACATATCAAGACCTTGTCTGTACAAAAAAAAAATTATAAAATTAGCTGGGTATGGTGGTGCACACCTGTATTCCTAGCTACTCAGGAGACTGAGGCAGGAGGCTCACTTGAGCCAGGAATTCAAGGCTGCAATGGGCCATTATTACACCACTGCACTCCAGCCTGGGCAACAAAGTGAGACCCTGTCTTGAAAACAAACTAAAAAGGATATTCTATGCAAATAGTAACCATAAAGAGAACAGGGATGGTTATACTAACATCAGACATAGTAACTTTAAATCAAAAAAAGTTTACAAGAGACAAACAGGACACTGTATTAATAAAGCATTCAATATAAAAGAAGATATAACAATTATAAATATTTATTCACCTAATAATAGACCATCAAAATATAGGAAGCAAAAATTCACAAGACTGGAAGGAGAAATTGACAGATGTACGACAGTAGTTGGAGACTTCAACATGCTATTCTAAATAGTAAATATAACAACCATACAAATACAAATTATATGTAAAGAAATAGAGAACTTGAACAGCACAATAAATGAACAATAGCTAATAGACGTATACAGAACCGTCTTCCTCAAAACAATATACAATATTCTCAAGTGCACATGGGACATATTCCAGAATAGGCCATATGTTAGTCCAAGATATAATACACTATTTTCTCTGGTCACAACAGTATGAAGTTAGAAACCAATAACAGAGAAAAACTTAACAATTCAGAAATTTGTAGAAATTAATAAAAACACTTTTAGACAACCAATGGATCAAATAAGAAGTCATAAGGGAAAATATAAATTCATACTAGGAGATGAATTAAAATGAAAATACAACATAACAAAACCTATAAGCCACCACAAAAGCAATGCTAAGGGAGAAATTTAGAGCTGCAAATGCTTACAATACAAAAGAGAGAAAGATCTTGAATAACAACCTAACTTTGCAACTTAAGGAATTAGAAAAAGAAGAACATATTAAACTCAAACCTGACAGATGGTAGAAAATAACAAAGATTTGAGCAGAGACCAACAAAATAGAGAATAGAAAAGCAAAAAAGAAAATTGTTGAAATCGAAAGTTTGTTTTTTAAAAAGATTAACAAAATTGACAAATCTTTAGCTGGATTTAGTAAGATAAAGAAGAAGGACTCAAATTCCTGAAATCAGAAATGAAAGTGGATATATGAGTGGGGACATTAGTACAAATTCTAAAAAAAGGAATAGGACAATAAGAGATTACTGTGATTAATTGTATGCCAACAAATTGCTTGAACTAAATGAAATGGACAAATTCCTAGAAACACAAAATCTACTAATACAGACTCAATTTAAAAAACACAAAATCTGAATAGACCTGTTACTAGCAAGGAAATTAAATCAATAATCAAAAACATTCTGACAAAGAAAAAGCCCTGACCCTGATGGCTTCACTGATGAATTCTACCATTCTACCATACAAAGAAGAACTAACTCCAATTATTTTCAAACTTTCCCTAAAAATTGAATAGGAGGGAACACTTACAGACTCATTCTATGAGACCAACACTGCCCTGAAACAAAAGCCAGACAAAGATATTACAAGAAAATAAAACCACAGACCAATATCCCTGTGAATATTGATGGGAAAATCCTCAATAAAATATTGACAAACTCTTAGCAACAAAATACTAGCAACACATTAAAGGGATTATATACTATGACCAAGTGAGATTTATTGCTAGAATGCAAGGATGGTTCAACATACAAAAATCAATCTATGTAGTATATCTCATTAATGGAATGAAGGAAAACATTATGTGATTATTTCAATTGATACAGAAAAACCATTTGACAAAATTCAACACCCTTTCATGATTTTAAAAAACACTCAACAAACTAAAAATAGAATGAAACTATCTCAACACAATAAGAACCATATATGAAAAACTCATCGTGAACATCATACTCAATTGTGAAAGAGCAAAAGATATTCCTCTAACATCAGGAACAAGGTAAGGATGTTCACTTTTACACCTTCTATTCAACAAATTTCTAGAAGTTTCAGCCAGAGCAATTAGGGAAAAAAACAGGAAAGAAGGAAATAAAGAAAGGGCATCCAAATTTGAAAGGAAAAAGTACAATTATATTTGTTCACAGATAATCTGATTTTCTACATAGAAAACCCTTAAGATTCCTTAAAAAAAAAAAAAAAAAAAAAAAACTGTTAGAACTGATAAACAGATTCAGCAAAGCAGCAGGATACAAAGTTAACGCGCAAAAATCAATTGCATTTCTATACACTAACAATGAACAATCTGAAAAGGAAATTATGAAAACATTTCAAATTACAATAGCATCAGAAAGAATGAAATACTTAGGAATTGACTTAACCAAGAAGGAAAAACACTTGTACAATGAAAACTAAAGAAAAAATACTGAAATGTATTTTTAAAAGGCATAAAAAATAGAAAGACATCTCATGTTCATAGATTGGATGTCTTAATATTGTTAAGATGTCAATACTAGCCAAAGCTATATGCAAACTCAATGCAATCCTTATCAGAATCACATTGATTTTTGCAAAAACAGACAAATCCACCCTAAAATTCATATGAAGTCTCAAGGAGACTTAAGTAGCCAAAACAACCTTGAAAAAAGAACAAAACGGAAGGACCCACACTTCCTGATTTCAAAACCTACTACAAAGCTACAATAATCAAAACTGTGTAGTACTAGCATAAAGACTGATGTATAGATCAATGAAATAGAATAGGAACCCCAGAAAAAACCTTGGCATAAACAATCAATTAATTTTCAACCAGGATGCCAAGACCATCCAATGGTGAAAGGACAGTCTTTTCAACAAACAGTACTGGGAAAACTGTATATTCACATGCAAACAAATGAAGTTGGACCTTTACCTAACAACAAATGCAAAAGTTAACCAATAATGGATCAAAGATCTAAATGTAAGAGCAAAAACAATCAAACTGTTATAAGACAACATAGAACAAACCTTCACAATATTGGATTGTCAATGATTTCTTGGATATAACATGAAAGACACAAGCAACAAAAGCAAAAATAGACAAATTGGACTTCATAAAAATTTAAAACTTGTTCATGAAAGGATACTGTCAATAGAGTGAAAAGGCAACCTGTGGAGTGGGAGAAAATATTTTCAAATAATACAGATAAAAAGAAATTCAAATCCAAAATACGTAGAAACTAACACTAAATAATTTTTTTAAAAAATATTCAAGTTGGCAGGGCACAGTGGCTCATGCCTGTAATCCCAGCACTTTTGGGAGACCAAGGCAGATGGATCACGAGGTTAGGAGATCAAGATCATCATGGCCAACATGGTGAAACCCCGTCTCTACTAAAAATACAAAAAATTAGCCGGGCGTTGTGGTGCTCACCTGTAGTCCCAGCTACTCAGGAGGCTGGGGCAGGAGAATCGCTTGAACCCGGGAGGCGGAGGTTGCAGTGAGCCGAGATTGTGCCACTGCACTCCAGCCTGGGCGACAGATTGAGACTCCATCTCAAAAAGAAAAACTATTCAAGTATTCAAGTTACCATCTCACATCCATTGGGATGGCTATTATTTCAAAAAAAATTAAAAACCAAACAATCAAAACTACAGAAAATAACAAGCGTTGTTGAGAATGTGGAGAGATATGAACCCTTGTGCCCTATTGGTGAAAATGAAAATTAGTACAGCCACCCTGGAAAACAGCACAGCAGTACCTTAAAAAATGAAAAATAGAATTACCATGTGATCCAGCAATCCCATGCCTGGTTATATGCCCAAAAGAATTGAAAGCAGGGTCTCAAAAAGATATTTGTACACCTGTCTTCATAGCAGTATTATTCACACTAGCTAAAACATGAAAGCAATTCAAATGTCCATCCAGGAATGAACAGATTAGCAAAATGTGCTATATATATATATATAGCACACACACATATATATATAGCATATATATATATATATATATATAGCCACATATATACACACAATAGAAAAGTATTCACCCTTAAAAAGGAAGGAAATTCCGACATGCTACTGTTGGTGATAGTTGCACATGATCAATGTACTTAACACTACTCAATTGTACAATTAAAAATGGTGAAGATGGCAAATTTTATGTTCTGTGTATTTTGCCATAACAGAAAAAGTTGAAAGAAAAACAATGTATTTAAGATTTAAATAGCAATGCCATACCTAAGAACTTCTACTAAAGAAGTAATCAAATATCTATATTTTAATCCATAAGATTAATCCCTAATAATGTTTACCACAGCATTATTTATAATAAAATAATAGAAACACTAAATGTTCAATAAAAAGAAAATGATGAAGTAATTATTGTTAGAACATAATTCCACTTAGCTATTTATAAATTATGACACAGATACATGTTCATAATATATTGTAAAATGGAAAAAATTGGTAACAAAAGAGTATTACAATATGTCCCCAATCTTTTAAAACAAATATAGTTACAAATATAGTTTTAGAAAATATAGATAGAAATATGCACATTAATAACTCTACTTTTATGTATATTTGTTTCATAATGAAAAATGCATATTTTTAATAAGGTGAAATATTATTACAGCACGTGAAAGAATAACAGATTCAGGTATTTTGAACTAAAAGAAAACATAGTAAACACATAAGCAACTTATTTTCATAGAGAAACCAGAGGTCTAAATGGTAAATGGTTAGGAAACTTTCAAAATTTATACATCTCATCCATGAGGCAATAAGGAGTCAGATCTAAATGCCCAAATGCTATTCATTAAACACACATTACATTTCTCACCAAAATTTGGCCAGCAAACACTTGAAACATCTTAAAAATTGCCTCTTAGGAATTGACATTTTCTCCCCTAGTTCTTCCTAAAATTCATGTATTTTGGAGCCTGAACCTAGACACAAGTATTTCACTTATTTTTCTAAAACATTCTATACAGAATTGTATTAATATAGAGAAATAAGATTTTTTCTGTCATCCTTATAATTTGTAAAATTAATAAAATATTCTTAAATTGGTTCAACAGATACTACCAATTCAGGTTTCACTAACAATCACAAAAAACATTTACACAGGTGAAGTATCCAAACTGTTATTTTTTGCCTAGTTATATCTTTTCCTTCAACATTTCTCAATGCATTTTGTCATTATACCTATTAACTGGCATACAACTCAGCTCCTTGGTTACTGCAAGAAACCCTATATACCATCACCACAGCCATCATCCGACACACAGAATACTCAGCATGTAACGTCCTTGTATTCTCCACATCTTTAATCATTGCTAGGTTTGTATATGTACACATGTGAATTATACATGGTCTTTTTTTCTAAATAGTTACTGGAAAGAAAAGATGGTATTTTTTTCCTTAATGATTCCTCATTAATAAGATACCTATTTGTAAAGCATAAAATACATTATCTCATATATGGTAAATGCTATATATATGCTTATATATATAATTTTGATAGATCAGTAAATAACAGTTCACATCACAGAAGATAAATACATATTGACTGCAAACCTCAAATTAAAAATAGCAATGGAATGTTGTCCACAAAATCATTCTGATTTTTATTTAGAATTACTTATAAAGAGAAGTAGAATTATTTATATGTATAGTCATGTTTAATATTAAACATTTTTAAAAGAAAGTTTATTCCAATTATCATCACACTGATTCAATGAATAATTCTATAAATATTTAACAGTATCTATTCTGAGTGAGGCACTATACTGAGGACTTTGTGAACAAAAATAAACAACTCAAAAATAAAAGGCCAAAATTAGTGCCTTTAAGAAATTCCCATTAGATTAAAATATTGTACATATATATAGGCTTATTATTTATTTATTTATTTTGAGACGGAGTCTCACGCTGTCACCTAGGCTGGAGTGCAGTGGCGCCATCTCAGCTCACTGTAACCTCTGCCTCCTCAGCCTCCCGAGTGGCTGGGACTACAGGCGCCCGCCACCACGCCCGCCTAATTTTTTCTATTTTTAGTAGAGACAGGGTTTCACTGTGTTAGCCAGGATGGTGATCCGCACGCCTTGGCCTCCCAAAGTGCTGGGATTACAGGTGTGAGCCACCGCGCCTGGCCTAGGCTTATTTTTAAATCTTAAAAGTTCAACATTTTAAATTTTTGTAAGGATGGCCTTTCAAAATATGTTTATCATAACACATATGGGCATAATAATAAGACTTAAGCAAAAAAAAAAAAAAAAAAACACTTTGGGCAATTAATTTAAAAGGCAAAATAAAATCTTAATTCCTCTGAACAAGTAGTATCATTGCTTTAATTACACATCCTCAAAATAACTAGGCCAATAGGGGCTATTAATTAGGTGAAATGTCATCTTGAATCCTGGAGAGGTGCTGAACTTACATGAACAAATCCATCCCTTAAGTGATATGGAAAAATCTAACGATATAATGAGCAGAATAAATTCGGAGGTCACTCTATCTCCCAGTCACTTAGCAACTGATTTGTAGGGAAGAGGGCAAGAGGGAAATGATTTGTAAAAATAATTAACCATAAACTCAATAGTAGAGATAAGTGAAAAGGAGGCTGGAAATGGAAGCGGCTTTACCCAGGGCTTCCAGCCAACTCTTCTTGTAGGGAGGAATTCATCATGACACAAAAGCCCCAGACATAATGTTTACCTTTCTTCCTTTTATCCATACATCTCTCCGACTTCCCCACGTTCCTGTTTCTATTGATAGACTTCAGGAGCACACATGCAAACCTAAACCCTTTCTCTTTGTCTCCATAGTTTTCTTTGTCTTTCTTTTTTCCCAAAAAGAGATTGAGAGAGACAGAGAGAGAGAGAGAGATTTCCATGGTATTGGGGGCAGATTTCTCAGACTTGCCCCTTTCTGCAGGCATAATTGGCACACATCCTCTCTTGCACAACCAAACTCTTAAATTCCAAAGTAAAGCACATTACTACAAACTTGAGTCACAAGTACAAACACTCATTTCACTTAGCAGCATAAAGATTTCTGTTTGGTTTTTCTAATTGGCCAGTACTATGTAAAATAAAGGAAGAAAAGGAGGATATTTGGGATATTTTCCTAGTAAACTCAAATCACAATCCAATGCTTCAAGCAGAATAAGCCATAAATTCTCACAATGTCAATGTTTTCTTAATTTATTCTTTTAGCTTACTTGCAATGGATATTTTAAAATAATACTTCTTATAAGAATAACATTATTTCTGGAAATATGGAAATATATCTCTTATTGTTTTGAAATAATTAAAAAGGCTGTCAAGTAACACTTAACCTCTTAGAGTAAGGTCATTTATTTAATGATAAGGTCATTATTTAATGACAGTAACATAAATTAGTAGACAACTTTGAAGACTTTAAAATAATTCAGTCTTTTATAAGAAAAATATTCTATATTTTTCAGGTATAATATCAATATTCTTACATTCAAGTTGCTTTAATATCTGTTAACATAAACCAAAGCAAGTTATAGTTATGGGCTGGTAAGAAGAGAACAACCATCTATTGAAAACCGTCTACAGATAAGTGCTTTGTATAATAAATTATTTGCTTTAATATTTTCTTTTCTAGAAATGTGTATAAGAATTACAATATATTACTTAATCTTACAACATAAAACTGCACACACTTTTGCCAAGCGTATGTTTACACATTTTATCCACATCCAATTTAAGTAAGTTATGATACATTGAGTTACATTTACTATTTTAAGATATCAATTATAAAACTCATTGTAGGAGAAAACTGTATAAACAAAGGCATCTTAATATGGCCCAAAACTAAATAAAATGTTAAGCTATATAATCTTAGTTTGCTTTAATTTCATCTGTGACATTTTATGATTGGTTGAAATGTCACAACAACAAAAATAAAGTCCAAATAAAGCATTAAATGACTGGCCTGTATGGAGCCATCATTAATCACTTATGAGAGTTACTCATGCTAAATGCGTCATCCAGAGTAAAAACAAAACAAAACAAAAAAAAAATGAGGTTGACAATATACTAATTTGACCTCTGCATATTGTGAATTGAGTAATCTGTAATGTTGG
Source organism: Homo sapiens (assembly GCF_000001405.40). Classification (NCBI taxonomy): domain Eukaryota; kingdom Metazoa; phylum Chordata; class Mammalia; order Primates; family Hominidae; genus Homo; species Homo sapiens. The sequence continues at coordinate 86,220,423 of NC_000004.12, forward strand.
AAAACATAAGACTAGTGTAGGAATAATATGGAGATTGGATGGAGGCAGGAAAGTAGGGGCAATGATGCCATAAGCAGCTCTTCCTTAAATTTTATTTAGTCCTGAAGAATTTAAGAATTTAAATAAAAAGAGAGAGAAGCATATTTTCCACATTTATATACATATATGATTAACTGGCTGATATTTAGAAGGAAATGTATATTTTTACATTGAACTTCACTTGTGTTTAGAGTTATAAAAGCAAGTTCAAAATTTTACAAGTAATTTTTAACAGTAAACACAATAATATTTTAGGTTTCTTCTAATGACGTACAGCCTAATATATTTGTATGGCGTTTCTAACTAGCATTTTAGCATTTGGATCAAGGCAAAGGGCAAAAGTCTCTTGTTTATTTTATCTCATTTATTTCTGTCCCAAACTCTAGGCTCTCTATAACCTTTAAATATGTTCAGGAGATTCAGTTATGTCTCAATTGTCGAACAACATAAGGGGCTTTTGAAAGAATGTTTTGACTAATGACAGAGAATTATTATTTTTATTTTCTGTATCATTTTCCTCTCCAATGAACATCTTTTGGTACGTTCTCCCTTTTCCCTAGCTTAAATTGTCACTTAGGCTAGTCCACTGAGCTAGCCCACAGTCTCCCGAATAGAAGGCGGCTGGGAAGTGCCCATCAGTCAGGGACAGACAGACAGCCAAGGAGAGGTTTAGAAATTAAAATTCAGTGTGAAGCTAGAAAGACAAAATGGAGAAGTGATAACAGGCTAGGACCAAACTAAACAGAAGTGAGGAGGTATAAATCCTGAGCAATCACCTCAAGAACAATGCCACCCAGCATGCCATTGGCTTTTACAGGTCACTGGCTTGACAGGAGTAATTCAAAATGTGGGAGGAAAAAGCCACATCGGATGGCTACTCTGCTAATTTATCTTATGCAGCAAACAAGGCAGTGTAGAAATTGCAGTAACCAAGCATATTTATAGACAATAAAGGAGGCACATTGATATGGTTTGGATCTGTGTCCCCACCCAAATTGCATATTCAAGTATATTTTTGGTTTTTTTTTTTTATAAAAACAGGGTCTGGCTCTGTCTCCCTGGCTGCCCAGGCAGGAGTTCAGTGGGGTGATCACAGGTCACTGCAGGCTCGACCTCCCAGACTCAAGCGATTCTCCCACCTCAGCCTCCTTAGTGGCTGGGACTAGAGATGCACACCACCACACCTGGCTGATTTTTGTTTGTTTGTTTGTTTGTTTGTTTTTGTAGAGACAGGTTTTGCCATGTTTCCCAGGCTGGTCTCGAACTCTTGGGTTCAAGGGACCCACCCACCTCGGCTTCCCAAAGTGCTTACAAGCGTAAGCCACTGAGCACAGCATATCATGTTCAATTGTAATCCCTAGTGTTGGAGGTGGGACTTGGTGGGAGGTGATTGGAACATGGGGGTGGAATTCTCATGAATGGGTTAGCACCATCCCCTCAGCACTGTTCTTGTGCTACTGAGTGACTTTTTGTGAGATCTAATTGTTTAAAAGTACATAGAACCTCCCCCTCTCTCTCTTGCTCCTCCTTGAGATCTGGTTCTTTCAAAGTGTGTAGCATCTGCCCCTCACTCTCTTGCTCGTCTTCCAGACATGTAAGACATGCCAGCTTCCCCTTCACCTTCTGCCATGACTGGAAGTTTCCTGAGGCCTCCCCAGAAGCTACACAGATGCCAGCATCATGCTTTCTGTACAGCCTGGGAAACTGTGAGCCAATTAAACCTCTTTTCTTTATTAATTACCCAGTCTCAGGTATTTCTTTATAGCAGTGAAAAAACAGACTAATACATATATTCTTCATTTATAGAGGATGATGCTATACAACACTCAAATCCTCTCTTCTAAACTAAGGCACTCATTTATCCAAATGCCAGGAGTTTTGCTTACTGACAGCACACAGCTGAGCCGTTTCCTAAAAATGGCCCTCTGCTAAAAGGAGCTTCTGGGCCCAAGGTTACTCCTCTTCCCCAGTGACTGTGCAATGCAAGGTACAAAGCCTTCACACCACCTCCACACTTTGCCTTAACTTGGGGCATCGCCTTAGGGTCACTGCAACTTCACAGATACCCATGGGATCAGCTGAGGTCTCTGTTGCAACTGCATGGTGCCCAAGCAAAGACTAAGACTTCATAATACAGTACAGCTTGTATTTATAGCCTTTGCAGACCAGTTAAAAATAAAAATAAACCTTTGTCTTTGTGAAGAATCCCAAAATAGGTGGAAAGCAATGTCCAGCCTCTTCCTACTGAAGTGGAAGTCCATTTTGTTCTTGACTGGTCCTCCAGGCCTCCAGAAGATCTATGCACCCCCTAATAGACTTTTACACACAATGTTTGAAGGCAACTTCTAAACTTCATCCAACCTTCTCCAGGAGCAGAGGAATTTCATCATGCTGATGACATCTTCCTCTAAGGAGAGTCAGTTCACACACTTATTCAGTACATGCAAACATTCACAAATAAGTTCACAAAGAAAAAATGTGCCATTGTCCCCCACACAGTACAAGGCCTCATCACCTTGGTTAAATTCCTGAAAATTATTTAGCAAGTCAAGAATCACTCTATCCCTGACACTGTCAAGAAACAGCCATTGACCCTCAATACCCACATGCTCAACATCTTTTAAGCCTTGTGGATTCTGGAGGCAACATATTCTGCATTACAAATTTTACTTTTTATCATGTTAAACTTACTTTTTACCAAATTTTAAATTTTACCATTTAGGGTGTTACATATCAGCTCCCCTTTAATGAGGCCCCCTTTTACAACAGAAGCCTCTAGAATCTGCCCAAATTTGCAGTACAGCTGGCATTCACCCTAGTGCCTCCCTCCCCCAAGACTTCTTCATTTTAGAAACCTCCTCTCATGTCTCCTGGAACATCTGGATCACCTATAATGGCCATAACTTGCGTATGGACTCTGTGATGAGTCCTGTGAACATTGTCCTGTTCGGCACCATACTACACACCATTAGAACAGCATTGCTGGCTGCATTCTGTGCTCTCCTGAGAATGGAGGCTCTCACAGGGCCTGAGCCCTCAACTCCACATACCCACTTGCACATTATGCTTTGGGTCATGAAAACAGCACCTGGAAAGCTCAGCACTTCCACTGAGGCCTCCTTGCTACAAAGACAAACCCGGAACCTCGGGCCATTTCCACCTGCAGGAGGCAGTAGCCTCCCCTATCCCCAAATCTCACCCCTCCCTCTTCTTCCTCTGCACCACATCTGGGCAAACTAATAAGAAAGCCCAGATGCTCCCTCCTCTGGTGGCAACAGGAAGTTCAAATCACACAAGCCCTGGCCAATACATAAAAGAATTCTCACTTTGCCCCAACCCCCTAACCACAGTAAAATCCCAAGCGAGTCTCTTTTCCCTGCTTTTCATGGCAGTCTTGGACCTGCTTAGAAACATGCCCTGCTCTCCCCAGAAAGTCTCATTATGTAAATAATGTGCCTTTCATACCCTCTTGTGGCATGTGTGGCATCATCAATCTTGACACCTGAACCAAATTTGTGGGAGAGATGTCCATCCTTCCTCTGGAGGGTGACTTAGACATACCCTAGTTTTTATGTAAACCTTTCTTGAGCTTAGTTGCCGTTCTTTATGATCCGAAATATCAAATGTAGGAATTGGAACCCTACCTCAGTTCTAATGATCTGAGTGCACTGAACAAATGAAACTGTTTCAATGTTTTCATGTAAAAAATATTTATTTAATGCATACTATGGGCCTGGAATTCTGCTAGACACTAAGAATACAGAGGAGTTGTCAGTCTAATGGGAAAGACAGATATTATCAATGCCATTTTAAGAAATGTAAATTTTCAACTGTGACAAATGCCGGGGAAGAAAAGTATGTTAATATGTTATATGAACCTATCAGTTCTAATGGAATCAGTCCTAGACAGTCAGAAATATTAAGGAAGTGATATATTAACTGAAAGCTTAAGAATGAGTAGAAGTGCACTAGGTAAAAAAGGAAGGGAACAGAGTTCCAGGTAGAGGGACTAGCAAAGACACAGTGGCAGAGGAAGCATAGAGAATGTGAGAGACTGAAAATCAGAGCAACCATTGAAGAGCTTCGGGGTAAGCATGACTTTATCAGATTTGTGTTTTAATGATTACACCGGGTCAGTATGAGGAATGAATTAAAGAAGGTAGATATATTGACGATCAAACACCAATAACCCAATATCAATGCTATTGATTTAATTCACAAGCATATGTATACCTTCCCTTTCTTTGCTCCCCAAATTTAAGATAACATAATCTATGCACAAGATTTGATAAATCTGAGTTTGTGTTTTCCCTCAAAATTAGAAAATAAGGTCAGAGAATCTCATCTTCTGAAATGGAAGTATAAAAATATTATCCAAGATGAATGAGACTAGCCTTACTATTCATTTACAGAAATAACATCTTAAATACAATTCTCTATTGCAATGAAAATTAAATCTTATTTATTTTGCAGTAATCTAAAATTTATAGACAGCAGATGTTTAGTTGGCCCAAAGGAACCTTGAAGTTAACTGTTCTCAATTAGTGTGTAAATTTAACTGCTAAAGTAAGTTAATACCCTAGGGGAAAAAATAATGTTAATACTCATGCAAGAATCCAAATAGGTCAATATATTCGTTTTCTGTGCAGAAAAGAGTTAACAGCAGCCTGAAGCTGTTATCCCTAGAAATCCGTGCTTGGAAGTTTGGCCCTGAGCTGGAGTATAGAAACTTGGAGGTGGAGAGGGTTTCTACCATTGTCAGGACTGATGAGAGGGCCATAACTGTTTGTATTAACAATGTGGTTTATGCTGAATACCTGCTTTCCTCCTGGAAGTCTCAAATTTTTGTACATCCCAGACACAGGGTGCCTACATGACTAGCCACCAATAAATCCTTGGGCTGTAGTTTTCAGTGAGCCTTCCTGGTAGACATGTAGTCACAATCTGTTGCTGTAGGAAATGGGCAAGTCCTGTGTGACTCTACCGAGAGAAGACTCCTGAAAGCTTGTGTGTGGTTCCCTTTGAATTTCACCTCATGGGCCATTTTCTTTTGCTAATTCACTTCGCAGCCTTTCACTATAATAAATCCTAACTGCGAATGTAACTCTATATTTTGAGTTCTCTGAGTCCTCTTAGCAACTCATCACACTCAGTGGTGGTCTTTGGGACCCGCCCCCCAACACATTTTCCATATTTTATCGGTAACATAACGAGAGAGTGAATATATCACTTATTGCTATTTTAAAAGCTTTATGCTCAATAGGTACTAATAAAACATCAACATATTAATTACCTAGATGCATTTAAGAGTAATAGGGAATATTTCCAAAAGGCAGTGCACTATTGGTGCCCACTGACACAAGCTTTGATATTAACTCTCTCTCCAATACATTCTCCATAAATGTTTTCTAAGCCTATCTCCCCTAATAGATATGTAGATTTAGATATATGTATACATATAGACATGGACATGGACATGCACATTCATATACATTTAGAAAAAGAAAGTAGATATAGACAGGGATGTTTAACAACAGTTTTCTGAAACAATATATTCAGAAAAACCTTTTGATTATGACAGCATATAGGATAATACAAATGGTCTTCATATACACTAATCAAATACTGAGTTTCATTTTTAAAAAGTTAGAAATGCTTTTCCTTGCATAGGGATTTCTGGCTTTCAGCATCTGCTGACACACTTGGTTCTCAATGAAGCAAGCCTGGCAGGCATGATTTTATAGAACATAAATCTAAGTGTGTGAGGGGCTCACAGGACAACTAAGCCACAAGCTTCTGAACTGTCACTTGGGTATCTAAATAGGCTAGGCTTACTCTCCATTTAAAGCCAGACTTTACCCGGTTTCAAGTGGAAAGTTGTATTTCAAGTTCATAGTGCATTTTAAAATCCTTAGATGATGCTAAATACAATGGGACATATAAAAATAGAGGAAAAACTTAGCATATTACCAGTGGCAGGTTAAAAGATCACTAATTTCAGTGGGCAGTATCATACCACATTATGCCAGAGTTTAAAGATATTTCAAAATTCCTTTGTTGCACATAAGTTAGTACAGTAACCAGCATTAAACCTTGAATATATTTTACTTCTAAGGGATTTTAATTGGACATTTTAAATTGCATATTATTTTCATCAGTTTCTAGGTAATTTACCCAACAATGCAAAATTCCAAGAGGAAGTCATCACCTTAATTTCTCCTCAAGAATTTTGAAGAGAGTTCCAGAAAATAAGAAACGACAGATGTGCCTGGAATTTCATTTCTATTCCATGTTAGGACAGCGTACTATAGCATTCTATGTTCTATATTACAAGCAGGTCTGAAAGCCATTTCCATAGTGAGAATGAATTCCTGAAGAATCTGACATAGCTGTCCCTGAGCATTTGCCAATATCATTTCAAATGATTATAGGTCCTCTATGTGAGACATGTATACTCCTAAAGCAATGCAAATCTAATTTATCTAGCTTCACTTGGTAACATATTTTCATTGGATTTGATGAATTGCTTTTCCTGATTTTTTGAAAAAATATGGTTTTATGTCCAATAATAACATATTGTGAATGTCACAATTTGTCTTGTCAGTCATGGTAACACAGAGCCCTTGATGAATCAGAAATAAGAAGGGTTCTCTGACACTACTCCCCACTTATTTGTTCTCCTAGAGGTTACAAAAGTGTAAATATCTACTTTGCAGAATATAAAGATGATTAGAAAAAAGACACGGCCGGGTGGGGTGGCTCATGCCTATAATCCCAACACTTTGGGAGGCCGAGGCAGGCAGATCACGAGGTCAGGAGATCGAGACCATCCTGGCTAACACGGTGAAATCCCGTCTCCACTAAAAATACAAAAAACTAGCCGGGCTTGGTGGTGGGTGCCTGTGGTCCCAGCTACTCGGGAGGCTGAGGCAGGAGAATGGCGTGAACCCGGGAGGTGGAGCTTGCAGTGAGCTGAGATGGCGCAACTGCACTCCAGCCTGGGCGACAGAGCGAGACTCCCTCTAAAAAAAAAAAAAAAGAAAGAAAAGAAAAAGAAAAGAAAAAAGACGCATAGATGGTACTATTCTCCGGTCTCTAAGAATACTTTCTCACCTGTCAGCAACGTCAATTACAAGATAGGAGATTTGGAGATTATGTATGACCAAACTAAAACTCTTCAGAGATACTCAAAATAATGGCATTACTCACACAGGGACCAAAAAAATATGTAGCCTAAAACAATATTAATATGGATCTGCCCACATTATTTAAGGTCAAGTTTCTTTGTCCTGTGCAATCTGACCTCTGCCTGGCTCTCTATCCCTGTTTCTTTCCTGTCCTTACCTCACATTTTGTTTTAACCCTGAATTACTTATGATGTCTGTTCTCAAAGTGTACTTAGGGTTTGTTTTAATCAGATATAAGACATGCTGACACAAAAATGACTGTCATGAAGGAAGAAGTCCGTACTCACAGATCCCTAGAAACAGTAGACACTGCACACCATGCAGGGCCATGTGGGGAATGACCAGGGTAGGTCAGGAGGTGAGACGAAAGAGCATGGCCCAAATCCTTGTTGGCTATTTATTGAAAAGGAATGAGAAAGGCAGGGTAGGTACACTAAGTAAGCTTAGGATTGGATAGCTTGAATAATTTTGCAGGACTCTGGGCTATAGGAACTGTCCCTAGTTGTCTGATACCTGGTCCTGGGGTGATTTAGGGCAGGAGAATATTAGGTTGATGTGTAAGAGAGTTTGATAAAGGAAATGGTTAGGAGCATGGGCTCTGCATTGTTTGGCTTGTGTGTATATGAAAAGTGTACTTGCAGGAGGGTCATTTGCTATCTCTAGGAATTAGCTAGCTCTGGGAGGGGCAATCTCTCCAGGATCAAGGCCCGAGATGCCAGAGAATCAAGGTCACAGAAAAAACAGTAAATGTCGTGTATCACAATATCATGTTCTTTTTTCCTTCCCCTTTTCTCCTGCAGCTTCCTCTATCTGAAATCCTTCTCCCATATACTTCTACTTTTTAACTTATTTTTATATTTTACAACTCAGTTAAGTTACAAATTCATCTCAGAAGCCTTGCCAGATCACTCTTGCTAGACCTAGACTGGGAAATTGCCACTCCAGGGTGTTCACAAGATATTGTAAGCATAATTCTATCACCCTTTGTGTCATATTTATAAGTGTATCTTATTTCTAAGTCTTAATTATAAATATCTGTTACCCACCATACAATGAACTTCTTCGGGAAAGAAATATCTGATCCATGTTTGTATCCCCAGCACTTTACATAGTAGTCATTAAATAAATAAATATTTGTTGAATGAATGAAGACAGATTCCCGGGTAAGCTATGATTTCTCTCAGTCTAGCTTCATGTCTTATTTTGAGTCCTTCATGAGCAACAATGACTATAAAATATAGTTTAAGTTCATATTTCAACTACACTAATTTCATTAAATAACAAGACTATGCATAGTTCAAAACATAGCAACATTCACTTATAGTTCTACAAGTCTCTAAATGTATCGTCTTTCAGAGAAAGTAAGAATGAAAAGTTTAAACAAATACTTCATATATTGAAATTTTCAACCTTCATTATGAGTTTTCAAGGCAACTAAAGGTTGCCCAGCAACACTCTGTTGAAATTTTGTTAAGTTTCAACATAAAGATCCTAATTAAATACCAATGGGAAGAGCAAAGTCAATTCTAGGGTCCACATGAAGTTTAATTTTTTTCACACTTCCACATTCCCAAATACAACAATCATGTACTATTAAAATATTTTACTGCCCACACCCCCAATACATCAATTATACACCATTAAAATATTATCAATGTGCTGAAATTTTGTTATAATAAAATAATAAAGTAGCCATTGTGAAAAGATTATATGGCAGCAATATGTGTGGGGTCATTAAGATGAATCTATATTATGCCTACACCTGAAAAAGGAATTCCTATTATATTAGTAAATGTTTATCAAGTTTCAGTCACATGGAAATAACTTACAAACCCTACAAGTATCCAGACTCTCTTTCTTCTAGTACCTGTCCCTATCTAAAAGCTATCCACTTTATAGTAGAATAAACTAATATGGCCTGTGTTATGAAGGAAATTAACATCCTTAATGGTTAACTAAAAATGCAGGAAAACAACTGGCTTTTTTCATTGTATGCATGATTGAAAATGTGAAATATATAGGAACTTTCTTATTTTTTACTCTCTAACTACTTAGGATTTTATTTTATGAAAAAAAAAATCCATGCATATGTATTTCTAAATTCAAAGGAAAAATGACATGTTTAGGCAAGGCATGGTGGCTCATGCCTATAACCACGGCACTTTGTGAAGCTGAGGAGAGAGGATTACTTGAGCCCAGGAGTTCAATACCAGCCTGGGCAACATAGTGAGACTCTGTCTCTACAAAAAAAAAAATCAAAAAATTAGCTAGGTACATTGGAATGCACCTGTGGTTCCAGCTACACAGGAGGCTGAGGCAGGAGGATTGCTTGAGCCCATGAGGTCGAGACTGCTGTGAGCCATGTTTGCACCACTGCACTCTAGCGTGGGCAACAGAGCGAGACCTTGTCTCAAAGTAAAATGAAATATAATGACATGTTCATAAACACTTTTGAGTTGTCAGATCTGAAAATAATCAATCATGCCTTAGAAAAAAAGGTACTTCCCAAACGTTTTTATCTTTAAGTGATTTTAGAAAAGTAAATATATACAATTTGATTGATTAAAAAAATATTTCTCATTGAGTACTGTGTTTCATTTTAAAGGTTATTAACTTCACCTTTAAAAGGGAAATGAAGCACATGAACTGTCAGTGTATGAATTACCGTATGACTTTAAATTGTATCACTCAAAGAAAACAGCACACAACACATAAAGAAAGGTTTGGCATACGCCTTGCTCAGGGAATGTTTAAAAGAGTATGACATGCCTACATATATCCTGATAACCTACTAATTTTAAAAATTTTAAAAATAGACTATCTCTTCTAATTTTACCTCAGAAATATATTTTTGTGACTATTCTGCTTACATGGAAAAAACCATGAGGATAAATTTCTGGAATTATTGATCTATATGACTCATCAGCCTAATACTTAAGTAAATATATACAAATTAATGTTACCTATATACTAATGAAATTGTACTTATACAAGTTCACTTATTAATTTCCTTAGTATAGAACTAATTTATAAATTATTTCTTTAAAACTACCCTTGATTTATTCCCCTTTATTTCTATGCAATTTAAGTTTTAGCAAAATATTACAACTTCAATGTTTTTAACCTCAAAATAGCATATAACAACATCTGGTCAACATTTAATCACCTAGTTTTATAGTAATTATAAAGTCTCTGCCCTTTTAAATACTTGCTCAGTCTGCTTTTTGTTTTATTCATAACCTTTTTTATCTGCTTAGATAGGAGGGGCAATTTAACAGCTCTGGGAAGAATGGTCTAAAAATCTAGACCGGGGATAACTGGAAAAGGGATGCTGAACGAATATCTAATTTTAGGTCCATTTGAACATTTTATCAGAAAATATGAATTGATAAGCATTAGAATCTTCAGCCAAGACCAACGCTAACAAGAAAGTGAAAATGCAAGGAGGGGATTTTTAATCTCATGAATTACTTGGTTATTAAAATAATTTCTGTGGCATGTCCTATAACTGCAGTGTAGATATTTAAAATGAGTTCTTTATTATTACCTCTAAAGAGCTTTTACCAGTTGGGTAGAAGTAGAATTAACAGACAAAATACATATAATCTTTGGGTCATACTTATACTAAAAAATTGCTTGTTTTTTATTTGAAATTCACCTTTAACTGTGCATCCTGCATTTTTATTTGCCAAAGTTGGTAACCTATATAGAAGTACAATTGTAGGGGCTGGACGCGGTGGCTCATGCCTGTAATCCCAGCACTTTGGGAGGTCGAGGAGGGCAGATCATGAGGTCAAGAGATCAAGACCATCCTGGCCAACATGATGAAACCCCGTCCCTACTAAAGAAAAAAAAAATACGAAAATTAGCCGGGCATGGTGGCGGGCACCTGTAGTCCCAGCTACTCGAGAGGCTGAGACAGGAGAATCGCTTGAACCTGGGAGGCAGAGGTTGGAGTGAGCTGAGATTGCGCCACTGCACTCCAACCTGGTGACAGAGCGAGACTCTGTCTCAAAAAAAGAAAAAAGAAAAAAGAAAAAAAAGTACAGTTATAGGGATAGTAATTCATTTTTCCCTCACATTTGGATTAAAGAAAATCTTGATCTTTAATGTTGCAAAAATATATGTTCTTAGGACCAACTACATAATGCACAGGGCCTTATGTAAAATGAAAATGCAGGACCCTTTTCAACAATTATTATTCCAACATGGCAACAGTAGAGCATTAAGCCAAATGCCCATGAAGCCAGGGCTATTCTTAGAAATTTAGAATCCTAGACATTAGGCTATATATAAATCAAGTAGCCTTATATTACAGAAGAACATAGATGGGTTCAGTTTAACTGGAATTGGTCTATACCAGCGGTCACCAAACCTTGTCTGTAAAAAGTCACATAGTCAATATTTTAGACTTTGAAAGCCATGGGTTTCTAACACAGCTATTCAACTGTGCCAGTGTAGCATGAAAACAGCAAGAGACAATACATAAACAAAGGAGCATGGGCTGTATTCCAATAAAACTTTATTTACAAAAACAGCTGGTAGACCAAATTTGACCCATATAGTTTGCTGATCCTGGTGTATACCATAAACATGAGCAAAATGACCTGTTAAGTTTGTTTAGATTCTATGCAGATGCAAGCACCAAGGTAAAAATTTAGCTAGGAAGTTACAGTTGTTCCCCTGGGACATTAAAACATCTTTGCAAAAATGTATAATAGAATCAATTTTTTTTTTTTTTTTGAAATGGAGTCTTGCTCTGTAGCCCAGGCTAGAGTGCAGTGGCACCATCTCGGCTCACTGCAAGCTCCGCCTCCTGGGTTCACGCCATTCTCCTGCCTCAGCCTCCCAAGTAGCTGGGACTACAGGTGCTCACCACCACGCCCAGCTAATTTTTTGTATTTTTAGTAGAGACAGGGTTTCACCATCTTAGCCAGGATGGTCTTCATCTCCTGACCTCGTGATCCGCCTGCCTGGGCCTCCCAAAGTGCTGGGATTACAGGCGTGAGCCACCACGCCCGGCCTAGAGTCAATTTTTTCTGTATGTATTTTTATGTTTAACCAAATTCAAACATTTAGCTCAATCAAACCACTGACCCACTCTTGTAGATCCTTTAAGAATGTCTCTCAGGGAATACCTAGTAAGACATGAAATCTAAGTTCCCTTTCTCTTCCTCTTCTATTTAATTTTTCTTAACTTCTATATGCTTTGTTGTTGGTAATAAAACATACGAGTCAAGGGCAAGAGCATGAAGAAAGGTATGGAGGTATGTCATGGTCTGTGCTGGAGTGAAGACTGCATGACAGGCCAGGCAGGGTGGAAGGGGCGACTGCTTGTGTCTGCAAGCCTCCAAGACCTTCTTGGTGTTCCAAGAGTTTTCATGTAATACAAGCTTTTTGATAAAATATATGAAGCAGTGACTATTTCCATTTCGAAGATGAGATCCAAAGAGTTTAGATGTCTTGCCCAGGGTCGTATGTCAGAAACAAAAAAGCTCTTGGCATCACAGAAGGTGCAAAAAGTAGAATCATAGCCACTCTCTTTGCTTATAGTCAAATATAGACAAAGAACCAAAAATACAGACCCAAAGATCAAAAACATACATTTATCTAGTTTGGGTTACACAGAAATCCATCTACATAATCTAAGTATTCAGTGACGTCAGAATAAATGATGGCTCTGTGAGGCCTACTTACAAAAATAATCAGAAACCATAGTATGGAGAAAAGCTAGTTTAAAAACAATCAAGTGAAAAATATAAACTCTCTGACTGACTGCCACAAAGACTCGGCTAAATGGGCTTTTCTCAGCTATTTTACTTCTCCCCAGGCATTAACCTCCCTCCCCCAAGGAGCTTCCTTTGAAAGCTAACCCAGTGGTGCCAAGCAAGTGCTTGGCAATCTTTCCTTTAAAATATGTGGTGTTATCCAAGCAGGTCGGATAGGCTAGATTTCTCCTGACCAACATTTTGGTGATGGATTTCCAAGGTAATCCATAGCCTCCGAGTGTGAGCAGAAGTAGAAAGATACCACCTAGGACAGCAGACTGTGAGGAGGTGTTTCTCACTCATTTGAGTCAGCACCTGTCTTCACTAGGCACCTTGCAGAGCAACAGCAGATTTGTCTAACCACTTTGCTTTGTTCTAATTTTCCAAACTTGCCAATCTTTGTGGTAGTCATTACAGGAATCCAAAAAAGATGCTTAGAATTCCAGGATATGGTATTGTGTCTCCCAAGGCGTGTGCCTTCCTTCTGAGTTGTGCATTCCAACATGACACTGATTCTAGATAGGACTTGCAGTGAGAGGAAAAGGAAAAGGATTATTGCCAAAGGCCTTTTCTTCAAACCAAGAAGAATGTGTAAAATGAGGGGCTTATCAACCATAATATGTATCAAAGTGAAGCTGCCTGAGGTGATGAAAAGAAAATTAAACTTTAAGTCAGAGTCTCTAGACTCAAATACAGATTTCAGAATGGATTAGCTAAGAGACTTTGATGTTAATCTCACTTCCATTTCCTTACATGCAAGACACAACAATAACAACAAAAAAATCTCCATTTTGAGGTTGATATACAGCATCATAGAGACAAAAAAAAATTAATGTAAAGATTCTGATATGTATTGTATACTTAATAAATAGTACTTTTTGTTATCATCTGTTGAGTAATAATTATATTTTGTCTCATAAAAATGTATGCCAAAATTCAGAATAGATTATTTTCAAAATTCTGAGTTAAAGTTGATGTAATTAATATCATAATACTACTTATTAAAATATAAACAGTTTCTGTTCTATTTCCTTATTAGGTATTTGGTTTTCACTTTAACTTTCTTACTATCATATCTCAGGTACTTTTATCTAATCTGTGAATATCTAGGGCAAATTCTTCAATAATAAATACTATATTAAAATAAATGTCTTATCTTCTGACAAATGACAAATGTATTAACAAGTAAGAGAATTTGTTTTCTTCTCCAAGCAACTGAATAATAAATCAACTTTTTCCATTTAAAATCACCATCTTCCATTTAAAATCACCATCATCAATTTTCTTATTAATATGGATTTTTATTTAAAGACCCCAGAGTTAATCCTTCAGTTCTCAAAGTTTATAATAGTATAGAAACACTATGTTTTAAATTCAGGGGAAACTTATAATATTAGACTTAAATCAACAACCTCTAAGACCCTTTCGGGAAATACATCTCTTTGTAAGGAAAGTTTTCTGCCATTTTATTTACTTGATAAAGTAAACAGATATTCTCACACATTTTCTAAAATACATGCAGTAACGGATTAGGAGAAAAGAGAAGAGTTTTAGAAAATCATACCAGATCATCTCTCCTTTACCCTTGTGCTACATTCATTTTCTAGATTATTAGATAAATCATATTATTTGTATAATTTAAATTAATAATATAGAAACTTGAAGCATCACATCTGTGTTTTTTGCACAAATTAACTCATATATCACAGAAACAAGTCCTAGACTCATACACTGAGGTGAACTAAGGAACTGAATATCTCCTCATTTTCCAAATGAAGGAATGGAGGCCCCAAAAGAGAGAACTTTTATGAGTCCCACACATTCCTATCCTCATTCTTACTCGATCAAAAGGGAGATTCAGTTTTTAGTCAAAATTCCTAATTCTTACCAAAACGTGTGCTTTGTCTGCACATGCTCCCGGGTGTTAGAAGTCAAGCCTTCTCTAGAAGGGTGAGAGGACAAAGAGGGCTTGTGGGGTACCCATAAAGTGCTATCTCCGGATCTGGGTGCTGGTTCATACAGGTGTGCTCACCTTGTGAAAATCCATCAGGCTGCAAGCTTATGCTTTGTGCTCTTTCCTGTATATATGTTATATTTCAATAAATTTAATAAGATGCTTTCAAACTTTCTGTTCTGTGATAATTGACATGTATCACATTATAGTAGAAAGTCGCTCATCTTTTACTGAACACCTCCTACTTGCCAAGCATTGTACTGCTAATGTAAAGACAAATGAGGTTAAAATCTAAGCCCTCAAGCATCACAGACAAGCAAATAGTTACAATACTGTGAACAAAGTGATGACAGCTGAACAGAAAAGGAGCTGTGGGGACCGGGCGCCTGAGTCAGCTGTGGTGGAGGTGAACAGTGTGCTGAGGAGAAGCTTCAAAAAATTAACACATTTGATTCATGTCTTGTATTAGTTGTGGATTGCTCCTATAACAAATTACCGCAAACTTAGTAGCTTCAAACAATATAAATGGATTATCTCACAGTTCCTGGGATCGAAAGTCCAAAATCAGTCTCACTGGGCTAAAGTCAAGGGGTTGGCAGGGATAGTTCCTCTTGGAAGCTCTAAGGGAGAAGCTGTTTGCTTGCCTTTTTCAGAATCTGAAGTCTCCTGCATTCCTGGTCCGTGGCCCCTTACTCCACCTTCAAAGCCAGAAGTGTAACATCTGCAACACACTCTCTCTCTCTGACCTCTGTTTTTGTCTTCATGTCTCCTGTTGATCTTGACCTTCCTACCTCCCTCTTATAATGACCCTTGTGATTATATTGGGCCCACTTAGATAATCCAGGATAATATCCCCAAGCCAAGATTCTTAATTTAATCACTTCTGCAAAGTCTCTTTTTATCACATAATATAACATATTCAGAGGTTCCAGGAATTAGGACATGGAAATTGGGAGGAGGGTGAGGAAGACATTATTCAGTCTACCACATGTCCTGAAAGATGAGTAGATGTTAGCTAACTGGACAAGAGACAAATGATATGACTGGAAGAAGGAATCAGACTTCTGAATCCTACACTTTGGTAAATCTGGATAGAAACGTAGGTCAGATTATAAAGTCATTATTAATGCCAAGTTAAGGAGACTGTGTTCCAAAACAAACCACAGAAGGGTCTTAAGAAGAGTGATATGATCTCATGTGTATTTTTCAAGTATATTTTGACAACAATGTATTAGCTAGAATTAGAGGGATTCAGAAGACTAAAAGAGGCATGAAGGCATCAAGCTATTGTGACGGTTCAAGGAGAGGGTCTGAACTAAACAAATAGTTTGGAGATGGAAACGCAGGTCCTGGTTGAAGAGGGACTTAGTAAGAACCTGGTGAGATAAGGATGTGAGTAAAAGCAGGGAAGAAGGTGAATGATGAATAATAGCATCATCAACTAAAATTTCTTCAGGAAAAGGAGGAAACTAGAGGTGGAAGAGAATAGGTTCTTTATTTTTTCTAAAAAATAAAAAACGGGGTACATGTGCAGAACGTGCAGGTTTGTTACACAGGTATACATGTGCCATGGTGGTTTGCTGCACCTGTTGACCCATCCTCTAAGTTGCCTCCCCTAGACCCCCCATCCCCCAAACAGGCCATAGTGTGTGTTGTTCCCCTCTGTGTGTCCATGTTTTCTCCATGATCAGCTCCCACTTATGAGTGAGAACACGTGGTGTTTGGTTTTCTGTTCCTGTGTCAGGTTTTCTGTTCCTGTGTTAGTTTGCTGAGGATGATGGCTTCCAGCTTCATCCATGTCCCTGCAAAAGACATGATCTCATTCCCTTTTATGGCTGCATAGTATTCCATGGTGAATATGTACCACATTTATCCAGTCTATTATTGATGGGCATTTGGGTTTGTTCTGTGTCCGTGCTATTGTAAATAGTGCTGCAATAAACATATGTGTGCATGTGTCTTTATAGTAGAATGATTTATATTCCTTTGGGTATATACCCAGTAATGAGATTGCTGGGTCAAATGGTATTTCTGGTTCTAGATCCTTGAAGAATCTCCGTACTGTCTTCCACAATCATTGAACTAATTTACATTCCCACCAACAGTATAAAAGCGTTGCTATTTCTCCACAGCCTCACCAGCATCTATTGTTTCCTGACTTTTTAATAATCACCATTCTGACTGCTGTGAGATGGTATCTCATTGTGGTTTTGAAATGCATTTCTCTGATGTTCAGTGATGTTAAGCTTTTTTTCATATGTTTCTTGGCCACATAAATGTCTTCTTTTAAGAAGTATCTGTTCATATCTTTTGCCCACTTTTTGATGGTTTTTTTATTGTAAATGTTTAAGTTCCTTGTAAAACCTGGATATTAGACCTTCGTCAGATGGGTAGATTGCAAAAATTTTCTCCCATTCTGTGGTTGCCTGTTCACTCTGATGATAGTTTATCTTGCTGTGCAGAGGCTCTTTAGTTCAACTAGATCTCATTTGTTAATTTTTGCTTTTGTTGCAATTCCTTTTGGTGTTTTAGTCATGAAGACTTTGCCCATGCCTATGTCCTGAATGGTATTGCCTATGTTCTCTACTAGGGTTTTTATAGTTTTGGGTTTTACATTTAAGTCATTAATCCATCTTGAGTTAATTTTTGTATAAAGTGTAAGGAAGAGGTCCAGTTTCAATTTTCTGCCTATGACTTGTCAGTTTTCCCAGCACCATTTACTGAATAGAAGATCCTTTCCCCATTGCTTGTTTTTGTCAGGTTTGTTGAAGATCAGATGGTTGTAGGTGTGTAGTGTTATTTTCTGAAGTCTCTGTTCTGCTCTATTGGTCTATATGTCTGTTTTTGTACCAATACCATACTGTTTTGGTTACTGTAGCCTTGTAGTATAGTTTGAAATCAGGTAGCGTGATGACTCCAGCCTTGTTCTTTTTGCTTAGGATTGTCTTGGCTATACGGGGTCTTCTTTGATTCCATATGAAATTTAAAATAGTTTTTTTCTAATTCTGTGAAGAATGTCAAAGGTAGTTTGATGGGAATAGCATTGAATCTATAAATTACTTTGGGCAGTATGGCCATTTTCACGATATTGTTTATTCCTTTCCATGAGGATGGAATGTTTTTCCTCTGTTTGTTTCCTCTCTTATTTCCTTGAGCAGTGGTTTGTAGTTCTCTTTGAAGATATCCTTCACATCCCTTGTTAGCTGTATTTCTAGGTATTTTATTCTCTTTGTAGTGATTGTGAATGGGAGTTCATTCATGATTTGGCTCTCCGCTTGCCTATTGTTGGTGTAAAGGAATGCTTGTGATTTTTGCACATTGATTTTGTATCCTGAGACTTTGATGAAATTGAGTATCAGTTCAAGAAGTTTTTGGGCTGAGATGATGGGATTTTCTAAATATAAAATCATGTCATCTGCAAACAGAGACAATTTGACTTCCTCTCTTCCTATTTTAATGTCCTTTATTTACTTCTCTTGCCAGATTGCCCCGGCCAGAACTTCAAATACTATGTTGAATAGGAGCGGTGACACAGGGCATCCTTGTCTTATACCAGTTTCAAAGGGAATGCTTCCAGCTTTTGCCCATTCAGTATGATATTGGCTATGGGTTTGTCATAAATAGCTCTTATTATTTTGAGATTATGTTCCATAGATATCTAGTTTATTGAGAGTTTTTAACCCGAAGGGATGTTGAATTTTATTAAAGGCCTTTTCTGCATCTATTGAGATAATCATGTGGTTTTTGTCTTTGGTTCTGTTTATGTGATAGATTACATGTATTGATTTGCCTATGTTGAACCAGCCTTGCATCCCAGCACTGAAGCAGATTTGATCATGGTGGATAAGCTTTTTATGTGCTGCTGGATTCAGTTTGCCAGTATTTTGTTGAGGATTTTCGCATCTATGTTCATCAGGGATATTGGCCTGAAGTTCTTTTGTTGTGATGGTGTCTTTTACAGGTTTTGGTATCAGGATGATTCTGGCTTCATAAAATGAGTTAGGGAAGAGTCCCTCCTTTTCAATTGTTTGGAATAGTTTCAGAAGAAATGGTACCAGCTCCTCTTTGTATTTCTGATAGAATTTAGCTGTGAATCCGTCTGGTCCTGGGCTTTTTTTTGGTTGGTAGGCTGTTAATTACAACCTCAATTTCAGAGCTTGTTATTGGTCTGCTCAGGGATTCAGCTTCTTACTGGTTTAGTCTTGGGAGGGTGTATGTATCCAGGAATTTATCTGTTTCTTCTAGATTTTCTAGTTTATTTGCTTAGAGGTGTTTATACTATTCTCTGTTGATAGTTTGTATTTCTGTGGGGTCAGTGGCGATATCCTCTTTATCATTTTTTACTGTGTCTATTTGATTTTTCTCTCTCTTCTTCTTTATTAGTCTAGCCAGCAGTCTACCTACTTGGTTAATTTTTTCAAAAAAAAAAAAAACAGATCCTGGATTCATTGAGTTTTGGGAGGGTTTTTTGTATCTCTTCTTCAATTCTTCTCTGATGTTAGTTATTTCTTGTCTTCCACTAGCTGTTGGATTAGTTGCTCTTGCCTCTCTAGCTCTTTTAATTGTGATGTTAGGGTGTTGATCTGAGATCTTTCTAGCTTTCTGATGTGGGCATTTAGTGCTATAGATTTCCTTAACACTGCTTTAGCTGTGCCCCAGAGACTCTGGTATGTTGTCTCTTTGTTCTCATTGGTTTCAAAGAACTTCTTGATTTCTGCCTTAATTTTATTATTTATCCAGGAGTCATTCCGGAGCAGGTTGTTAAATTTCCATGAAATTGTGTGGTTTTGATTGAGTTTCCTAAACCTGAGTTCTAATTTGATTGCACTGTGGTCTGAGAGACTGTTTGTTATGATTTCAGTTCTTTTGCACTTGCTGAGGAGTGTTTTACTTCCAATTATGTGGTCGATTTTAGAATAAGTGCCATGTGGCAGTGAGAAGAATGTATATTCTGTTGATGTGGGGTAGAGAGCTCTGTAGATATCTACTAGGTCCACTTGGTCTAGAGCTGAGTTCACGTCCCAAATATCCTTGTTAATTTTCTGTCTCATCGATCTGTCTAATACTGACAGTGGGGTGTTAACGTCTCCCACTATTATTGTGTGGGAGTCTAAGTCTCTTTGTAGGTCTCCTGTTTTATAATTGTGGGTACTCCTGTATTGGGTGCATACATATTTAGAATAGTTAGCTCCTCTTAACTGTTCCCTTTATCGTTATGTAATGCCCTTTTTTGTCTTTTTGGATCTTTGTTGGTTGAAAGTCTGTTTTGTCAAAGACTAGGATTGCAACCCGTGCCTTTTTATTTTTTTCCATTTTGTTGCTAAATATTCCTCCAACCCTTCATTTGGAGCCTGTGTGTGTCTTTGCATGTAAGATGGGTCTCCTAAATGCAGCAAACCGATGGGTCTTGACTCCTCATCCAATTTGCCAGTCTGTATCTTTTAATTGGGGCATTTAGCCCATTTACATTTAAAGTTAGTATTGTTATATGTGAATTTGATACTATCGTTATGATGCTTTTTGGTTATTTTACACACCAGTTGCAGTTTCTTCATAGTGTCATTGGTCTTTATATTTTGGTGTGTTTTTGCAGTGGCTTGTCCTGGTTTTTCCTTTTCATATTTAGTGCTTCTTTCAGGAGCTCTTGCAGGGCAGGCCTGGTGGTAATAAAATCCCTCAGCATTTTCTTGTCTGGAAAGGATTTTATTTCTCCATTGCATATGAAGCTTAGTTTGGCTGGATATGAAATTCTGGGTTGAAAATTCTTTTCTTTAAGAATGTTGAATATTGGCCCCCAATATCTTCTGGCTTGTAGAGTTTCTGCTGAGAGGTCCACTGTTAGTCTGATGGGCTTCCCTTTGTAGGTTACCTGACCTTTCTCTCTGGCTGCCCTTAACAGTTTTTCCTTCATTTCAACCTTGGAGAATCTGATGATTATGTGTCTTGGGGTTGATCTTCTCGTGGGGTATCTTAATGGTGTTTGCTGAATTTGCATGTTGGTCTGTCTTGCTAGGTTGGGGAAGTTCTCCTGGATAATATCCTGAAGTGTGTTTTCCAGCTTGTTTCCATTCTCCCCGTCTCCTTCTTGTACTCCAATCAATTGTAGCTTTGGTCTTTTTATGAAGTCCCATATTTCTTGGAGGCTTTGTTCATTCCTTTCATTCTTTTCTCTCTATTCTTGTCTGCATGTCTTATTTCAGTAAGGTGGTCCTCAAACTCTGATATCCTTTCTTCCACTTGGTTGATTCAGCTGTTGATACTTGCGTATGCATCATGAAGTTCTCCTGTTGTGTTTTTCAACTCCATCTGGTTGTTTATGTTCCCCTCTAAACTGGTTATTCTAATTAGCAATTCCTCTAACCTTTTATCAAGGTTCTTGGCTTCTTTGCATTGGGTTAGAATATGCTCCTTCAGCTCAGCATAGTTTTTCATTACCCATCTTCTGAAGGCTACTTCTGTCAATTCCTCCATCTGATCCTCTGTCTAGTTCTTCACCTTTGATGGAGAGATGTTGCGATCATTTAGAGAAGAGGCACTCTGGTCTTTTGGGTTTTCAGCATTTTTTGTTGTTGTTGATTCTTTCTCATCCTCGTGAGTTTGTCTAGTTTTGGTCCTTGAAGCTGCTACCCTTGGATGGGGTTTTTGTGGGGGTCTTTTTTGTTGTTGTTGGTGGTGGTGGTGGTGTTGTTATTGTCGCTTTCTGCTTGTTTGTTTTTCCTTCAATAATCAGGTCCCTCTTCTATAGGGCTCCTGCAGTTTGCTGGGGGTTCACTTCAGGCCCTATTCATCTGATTTGTTCCAATGCCTGGAGATGTCATTCAAGGAGGCTGGAGAACAGCAAAGATGGGTGCCTACTCCTTCCTCTGGGACCTCTGACCTCGAGAGGCACCAACCTGATGCCAGTAGAATTGCTCCCATATAGAGTGTCTGACAACCCCTGTTGGAGGGTCTCACCCAGTTGGGCGGCACGGGGAGCAGGACCCATTTAATGAAGCTCTTTGTCCCTTGATGGAGAGGGTGTGCTTTGCTGAGGGAAACCCACTTGTCTGGGCTGCCCAGATTCCTCAGAACTACCAGAAGGAGAGGCTAAGTCTGCTGCAGAGACTGCAGCCGCCCCTCCCGCTAGGGGCTCAGGCCCAGGGAGATCCAAATTCTGTCCCTGAGCCTCTGGCTGGAATTATTGGAGATCCTGCAGGGAAGATCCGCCCACTGAGGAAGGATGGGTCAGGGTTAGACCTGAAGAGCCACTGTAGGCCCTGACTGCCACAGCCAGTGTGTTGGGCTGTGGGGACAAGTCTTGGGACCAAGCCATCCAGCCTCCCTGGCTCTAGCAGGGGAGAAGCGCAGCTTGGAGCTACAGAAGTAGGTGCTGCTCTTCCCCTGCCCAGAGAGCTTAGCATGTTAGGCAGTTTCGAGTCCCAGTGATGGCTGCTGCCCCTCCCCAAAGGAGCTCAAATGCTTAGACAACAGGCAGTGGCAGGTGCTGGATGCCCCTCCCCCGGAAGTTCGATAGGCTTAAGCAGATTCTAGCCGAAGAATCTGCGCATTCTGGGGTTGGGACGCTAGGCCCCGGTGGCATGGGTTTGCGAGTGGGATCTTCCGATCATTGGGTTGCACAGTTCCGTGGGAAAAGCACAGTTTTCCCAGCTGGGTAGCGCGCTCACTCACTGCCTCCCTTGGCTGGCGGGAGGGGGGTCCCCTTCCCCGTGTGGGTCTTCCTTCTCTCCATGGCTCACGCCAGATTTCTAGTCAATTTTGATGAGAGAAACTGGATACCTTGGTTGCCAGTGAAGGATTCATACGTTTATTATGTTTTTTTTTCCATGGGAGCCTCCCAACTCAGCTGCTTCTAGTAAGCCATCTTGGCCCCACTCAGATGATAGTTTCTATTTTGGATACATCAGATGTTGAGTTTGAGGTGCCTAGAAGCCTTAATTGTGGAGATACTTAGTCATTAATCACACACATTGGTCTATTCTACTACATATGACTACCAGAGGAATCTTGTTAAAACACCAGATTGTGTCTCTTCACTGGTCAAAACCGCAAATGGCTTCAGTCTCATTCTGAGTGAAATCCAAAGCCCTCACAATGGCCTGATAGGTTTTTACAATCTAGCGACCTCTCAGAACTTGTTCTCTCCTCTTCCTCACCTCACTCATTACACTCTAGCCAGGCTTGCACACAGCCTCTGATAAAAGCATGCTCCCACTTCTGGGCCCTTGAACATGCCCTTTCCTCAGCCTGAACCTCTCTTCTCCCAGATTCCCATGTGTTTCCTGCCCTGACTTGCTTCAGGGCTTAATCATATTTTCAGTGGTGTCTTCCTTGACCATCCTATTTAAAACTTCTCCCCACCTCCCACCCCCTCCCCCAATCCTAGTAGTCTGAATCTCTCTTTCCTGCTTTAGTTTGTCGATAGCTAGCACTGTTCTCTGTAAAAGTACACTTAACTTTATTTGTTTGTTTATTGTTCTTGCTTACCTCCCGAGCTCCTCCCCAACCACTAGAATGTAAGTTTCATGACTACACATGACTACCAGAGGAACCTTGTTAAAATGTCAGATTGTGACTCTTTACTAGTCAAAACCATTACAAATGGCTCGAGTTTCATTTTGAGTAACACTAAGTGGCACACAATAGCAACTCAATAAATACTTGCTGAATGATTAGTGCTGGAGCACAGGAAAGAAGCTCAAATAGAAGCATTGTTTCAAGAGTCACATAAGTAGAGGCTGACATTGGCACATCCACAGTGCTGCAAAGGCATGTACACCTTTCTAGATGTTTTTATAGCTCTTAGATTACAACTGAAAAAGCATAAAAAGGAGGAGAGACAAAGTCTGTAGGAAAAAGAAAAGTAGTGTTTAGGCACTTACGAAAACACTCAAAAAAAATCAACCATTTTATACCTCATAATTTGTGAAATTATACCTTATTCATACAAGATCATTTTTTATTAATAACATGAAACCAAAGAATTAACTAAATTTTGCAAAATTTATGCAACAGTAAAGATATGAAAGGTAAAGTTTCTTGCATTTGAGATGCCTGCAATTTTTAAAATAGATTTTAAAATATATCACTGCTCACTAACACTTACTTGATCTTATGTCTCTATTTAATGATGCATCAAATGAAGGTCGAGTTCTAGTGTTTCAGTTCAAAACAGTTCTTAATAATAGCATCCTTCAGCATGAATAAGTGAACTGCCAGCTGAGAAGCCACCCTAATGAAAACAGGCTCCTGTAGGAATTGTAAAGTGGCTTATGATGCTTCCAGTGAACATCAGAAAGGGCCCATAAAGTGTAGCATAAAGTGTGTACGTGCATTTTGTGATTCCTAGAAGACATGTTGGTAAGGCCATAAAATGTTAGCAACCAATTTAAAAACCAGCTCTAGGCTGGATAATGAAAGGGCTGAGCTTCTTATTAAGTATTCTCACATTTTTTATTTTGAATTGCATCATGTGATCTCTTTGAGTCTGAGAAATTTTCTTTTTAAAACTCTACTGTGAAATTTGGAAGGCTCTAGATTGCTTCCCCATCCTTCAGCATTGACACAATATTTCCTATGTTACACTTTGCAGTATCTAACATTTGGGAATTTTATCCAATATGTGGTCTAGATATGCATTTTTCTCCTTCTTATAAACATTAATATAGCTATCTCCAGGAAATCTGCTCAACATTCTATTTCATTTCATACATCTAAAATTTTGAGCTAGTATTTGTAACCATGTTCCTGGAAAATATGACTTAAGTCATATTCAGTACCTGGGTAGCCTGTCTCTTTTAGTCCTGTACATGTCATAACACTAACTATAAGAGCTCTTTAGACAGCTTATATTCGAGTGCTTTGAAAACATTCATTTGCTGAGCCCAACTGTATACATGGTTCTATACCACAAATTACAAAACACACACTAGCACAAGTGCCAATTTTTTTTTTTTTTTTTTGAGACAGGCTCTCACTCTGTTGCCCAGACTGGAGTGCAATGATGTGATCACAGCTCACTGCAGCCTCTGCCTTCCAGGCTCAAGTGATCCTCCCACCTTAGCCTCCTGAGTAGTTGGGACTACAGATGCACGCCATCACACCTTTTGATTAAAATTTTTAATTAAAATTAATTTTAAAATTTTTAATAGAGATAAGTTCTCACTATATTGCCCAGGCTGGTCTCAAACTCCTGGGCTCAAGCCATCCTCCTGTCTTGGCCCCACAAAGCGGTGGGATTTTAGGTGTAAGCCACTGTGGCAGGCCCACAGTGCCAATTCTTAATAAGGAGAACATATCTCTATCTTTAGTTATTTAGGCCTTGTGGGTCTACCACTCAAGAGGAATGTTACATGGGCCAGTAAAAAAATATTTGATTGAAGTTTAAAATGCCTCTAAAACCAGTTCTGCCACCAACTGTACAATTTGGGGAAAGTTTACTTAATTCCTTCTGGTCCAGTTTTCTGATATGCAAAATGAAAGGGTAAAGTAGATGATGTTTAAAAATCTAATTAAACCCCAAAATATATTACTCAAAATTATTTTTAAATACTTTATCTGTAATTGGTTTATATGGCCATCAGGTTGGCATAATAAACACTCTTAGAATAAATAGGCAAATAATGTTTCTTACTTTCCAGACATGATTAATAGACAGTTAATCACATGTTTTTCTATGCTATTATCCTTCCATTTATCCTTTCATTTAAAAATTGAAACTCATCATTACAAAGAAATAAACATTCAAAAATAAATTAAATAACCTTAAAAGTCAAGTTGTTGGGCCAGGCGCGGTGGCTCACGCCTGTAATCCCAGCACTTTGGGAGGCCGAGGTGGACAGATCACGAGGTCAGGAGATCGAGACTATCCTGGCTAACAAGGTGAAATCCTGTCTCCACTAAAAACACAAAAAATTAGCCAGGCATGGTGGTGGGTACCTGTGGTCCCAGCTACTCGGGAGGCTGAGGGAGGAGAATGGTGTGAACCCATGAGGCGGAGCTTGCAGTGAGCCAAGATTGCGCCACTGCACTCCAGCCTGGGCAGCAGAGCAAGACTCCATCTCAACAACAACAGCAACAACAACAACAACATCAAGTTGTTAAATAAAACAAAAACTTATATAATGAACATTTTTGTTGCTTAAATTGAATGTATTCCCTGCTGTTGCCCTTTTAACACAACGCCAATTTTGGTTAAATCATTAAGAAGGGAAAACTAACAAACACTTCCATGGTGCTTACCATGTGTTCTTAGTAGTTTACATCTAATAACTCACTTAAACCTCAGAGTAATATCATGAGGTAGGTCCTGTTACCACCTCCACTACAGATGAAGAAACCGAGAGTCAGCTTGCCTGAACTCACAGAGCAGGTGAACAGAAGAGGTGGGACTGGAATGCAGGCAGTGGGACACTAGAGTCTGCTGGTCACCACGCTACTCCTCCCACACACAGCCAGTCTGGCATAGGAAGTTAATTCCCTACAACTTCAGGAGGGTCTCTTGATTAGTAGCCAATCATATCATCCCAACCAACCTACCAAGTACTAAATGGTATTCCTCAACATCCCGTGATGCTCCAGGGTAGTGTGCAACCTAAGTTGGACCAATCAGACTAAAGGTAAGAATCTTTACTCCTTGGTGGGAGGGTAGGTTTACTCAGCTTCAGCCAGAGAGAATAAGGATGCATGTTAATTGCCAATTCTGCCAACCGTCAACCAACTGCCAACCATGAAGGAAGCCAGCTTAAAGTAAAGAAGGAAGAGGGAAGAACCAAAATAATCATTAAGATGAGAAAGCGAAGCCTCTATTGTACTATACCCTCAGCCTGCTCTGTCTCTGTCTCTGTATTTTCCTCTATGTTCTCTCATTGTTTAAGCCAGCTTGAATCAGGGTATCACTTTCTTCTACTCAAAAGCATCCTGAGAAATACTGGTATAATTGAGCACCATATTTACAAATCCTAAATAGTTAACAATCATTGTTTAATCTAACTCATGTTTTCTCCCTGCCCTGATCCCAGGTCCTGTTAATATACATTTTTGTTAACTCCCATTGAATCTTTACTGCTGAGTTTTTTCCTCTCCAGGAGATTCATTAATTGGACAAAGATTTATTGAGCACTTACTCTGTCTGAGGCATCGTTAGGCCATGATTTAGTCAGATAAATGAGTCACAGCCCCTACTCTCATAGAATTAAGGTCTAGAAGGGAGAAAGACACATAAATCAACAAATTACCATAATAGGTGATGGTGCTATAATAGATAAACACTGTGTGTGTAGTTGTGTGTGTGTGTGTGTTGTGTAGGTGATCTGACAATACAGAAAATGGAATTTCTAAGATGGTTTGGAGGACTTGATGAGTGCTTCACAGTAGAGGTGACATTTTATTTGGGTCTTGAAAGATGACTAGGAGATTTATAATAGAGAAAAGGCATTCTAGGGACTGGGAAAAACATGGTCAGCAGCATCGAACTATGGAAGTGTTGGGAATGTAGGTTAATGGCAAAAAGTTCCAAGTGATAACATCCTTCAAAAAATTTAAAAGAGACAATTTTCAGGATGTCAGGCTTGGCCAATCTCAAAGGTCCTTCTAATTTTTTGTTGTCATATATCAAGTAGCTGGACACTTTTCTTCCCCTCAGCCAACATGATCTCTGTAGGGTTAACAGAGCTAAATAAAGAGTCAAAGCTGTGTTTCTTTGGTTTTTGCATTTCTCTGTCTCAGGCCAGAAGCAAAAAGCGCAAAGAAGTACTCAATCGCCATATGGTGTTTATGAGATCCTGATTTTTGTGAAACCCTGTGGTTACTTTTTGACAGCCATATAATTTCTCAGTGTGTCATTGGTTTTTTTCTAATTTTTAAAGCTTGTGTTTCACAATCAGTTTAGAGAGATTATTTGAAAATTGCTGGTTGTTTAAATTAAAATGTTAAATTCGTTTGTTAACATCTTTTGTAAAGCCAGCTCACAATCTCGTGTGAGATACAAACTGTATTCTAACCAACAGTCAAGAAAACTTATCAAGATAACTCAGTAATTAGTTTTTTTAAAATCTCAATTCATCATTCAACATTTAAACAATATACCTTTACTAGGCACCTACCATATGCATATTATAGGCACTGGGAATTTTATGAGAAGGCAGCCTAGAAGTTAGTAGACATTAAATGATGAAATAGTTAAATCTCAAATGGCTACAGCCAGAAAAGGTTTTTTATGATACCACAAGGAAGTTTTATAGAGCTCATGCTTCATCAAAGAAGAATCTTTCTCAAGTCAGACTCCACAGAACAACTCTTCTTGCCCACCTAAACTGAGAATCGGGATATACGATCTCCTTCTAACACAATGCAGGGTTAACCAGAAAGATTTACTCCTGTAGACTGAGGCAAAGAGAAACAGACTGAAAACACCAAAGAGCAGTAATATCATTATTTCTGTAATAAAGAGCTGCTGAACTGCAATCTTATTAAATATTTCAAAGGAGAACAAACCATAAATCTGAGTATTATAATGGTGAGAATAAAGATGTGCTATCAATAAAGGCACTATTGGAAATCTAAGTTCTGAACAAATTCAGAAAGACTTAGAAGGCTCTGAAATACTTTTTAAAAGTATAATTTAGCACAGGAAAATATAGAACTAATCTAAATCAGCAAACCAAAATAATAAAGGAGAAGAAATCTAAATAGGCCCAAGTAAATTCCCTTGGCCATATCAACCTCTGGCTTCTGTCAGTTCCCTTGTGAGGAGAAACTAACGGCTAAAGCCAGAATTTTATTATACATACATGCATACACACACACACACACACCATATGCTTTCAGATGCATATAATGAAACCTAACAGTGGCTAAAATAAATAGGAGCTTATTTTTATTGCTTCAAAAGACATCTGGAGGTGGGTGGCTGCTAGCATTGGTTTAGTGGCTCAGTTATGTAAGGCCAGTGTCTATGATTCTCCTGTGCAGATTCCTTCATCATCACAAGGCGGTTGCTGTAATTCTAAGCATCACATCCCCATTAGCTGCTAAAACAAGTAGGGGTGGACCTGTGCCCACCAAATTGTCCCTGTTAATTTGGAAAGAGACATTTTCTCAGATGCTATGCCAGCAGACTTCCACTTGGGTAGAACTATGTCACCCCTTTTGTCAAAGGAAGCTGGAAAGAGAACTTTAAAAAATCTTTCCAGCCTCTATAATGTAAGAAGGCAGGAGAAAATACGGTTTGGAAGTGATTTGGGGTCAGTCAGAACCAGGTCTATCTGCACATACAATCTACAGTAATGATCAGTACATGGGATATAGTTTTTTGGTCCAGATAGTGGGTTTGACCACTGCCAACAAAAGGTGAATACATTTTTATTGTATCAAATCCCATATTAAATACTCTTTTCAAATATTTTGAAAATATACTTCTAGGCCAGGTGGGCCCCCTAATGACAACTGCAGTCAAGATGCTTATACCTATGAGAGCAAACCAAAGAAACTTCATAATTATACAATGATACCAAAACAAACCACATTTCTGACTATGGAGTCTGCATTTGACAGAACCATCCTGAGAATGGGAAATAAAAATGCTAAGTCACTGAACTACAAAAAGCCTCATGTCTAAAAAGGGGGGAAATCATATGAAGTAAGGATGGACACAAGTGCCCAAAAATAGAGTATCTAGAAATAATATCTGATGACTATGTCTCATACTTTGCCTTTGTCTAAAAGAGGATGATGGACTAAAAAACATTTTAAGGTCTTGTCATAGTGAATAGTCCAGCTAGACTCATAGGAATGCCGATCTTTACAAACTTTTCAGGAAGTTTATGACATCCAAGGAGCTATGATCATTGATTAAATAAATCTGTTTGTCTTGGGCAAGAAAGGGTTTTGAAATGAACATTTCTCTCCAGTAATCACAGAGGCAAGTGGCTGGTTTTAAAGTAGTCCTTATACTGTATTTGTGGTCATCTTAAGTACTCATTCAGAGGTCTTAAAACATCCCAGACAGACTTACTCTATTCTATTTTAAACAACATTAACAGAAGGCAATTCTACATCCTCAAATTAAGCATCTCATAAAAATAACTCTTATTCCCGCTGAACTATGCTTTTGCTGTTAATATTTACTGAAAGCCTAGAGAATTTTAGAGTGAAAAAATTTTAGAAGGAGGCAACATCTATCCAACTTTGAAGTGAGGAATCAACTTATCTCTGAAAATTTAATTAAATTACATCTCAATTTCATAGAGGAGTCATCTAGCATTCCCTGACTCTCTTTAAACTTATTTATTATGGAATCAAGAAAATGGCAAAGAAAGTAAAAAAAAGTAAACCACATAGTTTCTGAAAATCTAGTCATGTTGTAAAGAAGTCATGGACAATGCTTCCTTAACAATGTACTACTGTCAAGGAAACACGTTCTCAAAGAGCCAGACTGATTAATTTCACCAGTGGTCATGAGCTACAACACAGCCAGGGGACATGACAGATTGACTCTAGGAGAAAACTATTATTTTTCCTCTGCAGCCAATGTTGTAACAGTTGAAATCATAGCTGGGATGAAGTAAGCTCAATCATGCAGTTAAAGTGTTGCTTTGAACCAACTAGCCAATAATTTTCTCACTAAAATAAAACTTCAGGGAGCAACTCAGAGAAGTGAAGGAATTGTCCATCACAAAAGATATTTGTTCCCACATTAGAAGCCTAAAACTGATGCTGATTCTTAAAATCACTGAGGCAGGATTGCAATCTCCATTCTCAATGTTAAATAGAACATCGTTTTTATTTTATTTTATTTTATTTTATTTTATTTATTTTTTTAATTATACTTTAAATTTTAGGGTACATGTGCACATTGTGCAGGTTAGTTACATATGTATACATGTGCCATGCTGGTGCGCTGCACCCACTAACTCGTCATCTAGCATTAGGTATATCTACCAATGCTATCCCTCCCCCCTCCTCCCTCCCCACCACAGTCCCCAGAGTGTGATATTCCCCTTCCTGTGTCCATGTGATCTCATTGTTCAATCCCCACCTATGAGTGAGAATATGCGGTGTTTGGTTTTTTGTTCTTGCGATAGTTTACTGAGAATGATGGTTTCCAATTTCATCCATGTCCCTACAAAGGACATGAACTCATCATTTTTTATGGCTGCATAGTATTCCATGGTGTATATGTGCCACATTTTCTTAATCCAGTCTATCATTGTTGGACATTTGGGTTGGTTCCAAGTCTTTGCTATTGTGAATAATGCCGCAATAAACATACATGTGCATGTGTCTTTATAGCAGCATGATTTATAGTCATTTGGGTATATACCCAGTAATGGGATGGCTGGGTCAAATGGTATTTCTAGTTCTAGATCCCTGAGGAATCGCCACACTGACTTCCACAATGGTTGAACTAGTTGACAGTCCCACCAACAGTGTAAAAGTGTTCCTATTTCTCCACATCCTCTCCAGCACCTGTCGTTTCCTGACTTTTTAATGATTGCCATTCTAACTGGTGTGAGATGATATCTCATAGTGGTTTTGATTTGCATTTCTCTGATGGCCAGTGATGATGAGCATTTTTTCATGTGTTTTTTGGCTGCATAAAAGTCTTCTTTTGAGAAGTGTCTGTTCATGTCCTTCACCCACTTTTTGATGGGGTTGTTTTTTTCTTGTAAATTTGTTTGAGTTCATTGTAGCTTCTGGATATTAGCCCTTTGTCAGATGAGTAGGTTGCGAAAATTTTCTCCCATGTTGTAGGTTGCCTGTTCACTCTGATGGTAGTTTCTTTTGCTGTGCAGAAGTTCTTTAGTTTAATTAGATCCCATTTGTCAATTTTGGCTTTGGTTGCCATTGCTTTTGGTGTTTTGGACATGAAGTCCTTGCCCACGCCTATGTCCTGAATGGTAATGCCTTGGTTTTCTTCTAGGGTTTTTATGGTTTTAGGTCTAACGTTTAAATCTTTAATCCATCTTGAATTGATTTTTGTATAAGGTGTAAGGAAGGGATCCAGTTTCAGCTTTCTACATATGGCTAGCCAGTTTTCCCAGCACCATTTATTAAATAGGGAATCCTTTCCCCATTGCTTGTTTTTCTCAGGTTTGTCAAAGATCAGATAGTTGTAGGTATGCGGCGTTATTTCCGAGGGCTCTGTTCTGTTCCATTGATCTATATCTCTGTTTTGGTACCAGTACCATGCTGTTTTGGTTACTGTAGCCTTGTAGTATAGTTTGAAGTCAGGTAGGGTGATGCCTCCAGCTTTGTTCTTTTGGCTTAGGATTGACTTGGCGATGCGGGCTCTTTTTTGGTTCCATATGAACTTTAAAGTAGTTTTTTCCAATTCTGTGAAGAAAGTCATTGGTAGCTTGATGGGGATGGCATTGAATCTGTAAATTACCTTGGGCAGTATGGCCATTTTCACGATATTGATTCTTCCTACCCATGAGCATGGAATGTTCTTCCATTTGTTTGTGTCCTCTTTTATTTCCTTGAGCAGTGGTTTGTAGTTCTCCTTGAAGAGGTCCTTCACATCCCTTGTAAGTTGGATTCCTAGGTATTTTATTCTCTTTGAAGCAATTGTGAATGGGAGTTCACTCATGATTTGGCTCTCTGTTTGTCTGTTGTTGGTGTATAGGAATGCTTGTGATTTTTGTACATTGATTTTGTATCCTGAGACTTTGCTGAAGTTGCTTATCAGCTTAAGGAGATTTTGGGCTGAGACCATGGGGTTTTCTAGATAAACAATCATGTCGTCTGCAAACAGGGACAATTTGACTTCCTCTTTTCCTAATTGAATACCCTTTATTTCCTTCTCCTGCCTGATTGCCCTGGCCAGAACTTCCAACACTATGTTGAATAGGAGTGGTGAGAGAGGGCATCCCTGTCTTGTGCCAGTTTTCAAAGGGAATGCTTCCAGTTTTTGCCCATTCAGTATGATATTGGCTGTGGGTTTGTCATAGATAGCTCTTATTATTTTGAAATACGTCCCATCAATACCTAATTTATTGAGAGTTTTTAGCATGAAGCGTTGTTGAATTTTGTCAAAGGCTTTTTCTGCATCTACTGACATAATCATGTGGTTTTTGTCTTTGGCTCTGTTTATATGCTGGATTACATTTATTGATTTGCGTATATTGAACCAGCCTTGCATCCCAGGGATGAAGCCCACTTGATCATGGTGGATAAGCTTTTTGATGTGCTGCTGGATTCGGTTTGCCAGTATTTTATTGAGGATTTTTGCATCAATGTTCATCAAGGATATTGGTCTAAAATTCTCTTTTTTGGTTGTGTCTCTGCCCGGCTTTGGTATCAGAATGATGCTGGCCTCATAAAATGAGTTAGGGAGGATTCCCTCTTTTTCTATTGATTGGAATAGTTTCAGAAGGAATGGTACCAGTTCCTCCTTGTACCTCTGGTAGAATTCGGCTGTGAAACCATCTGGTCCTGGACTCTTTTTGGTTGGTAAACTATTGATTATTGCCACAATTTCAGCTCCTGTTATTGGTCTATTCAGAGATTCAACTTCTTCCTGGTTTAGTCTTGGGAGAGTGTATGTGTCGAGGAATTTATCCATTTCTTCTAGATTTTCTAGTTTATTTGCGTAGAGGTGTTTGTAGTATTCTCTGATGGTAGTTTGTATTTCTGTGGGATCGGTGGTGATATCCCCTTTATCATTTTTTATTGTGTCTATTTGATTCTTCTCTCTTTTTTTCTTTATTAGTCTTGCTAGCGGTCTATCAATTTTGTTGATGCTTTCAAAAAACCAGCTCCTGGATTCATTGATTTTTTGAAGGGTTTTTTGTGTCTCTATTTCCTTCAGTTCTGCTCTGATTTTAGTTATTTCTTGCCTTCTGCTAGCTTTTGAATGTGTTTGCTCTTGCTTTTCTAGTTCTTTTAATTGTGATGTTAGGGTGTCAATTTTGGATCTTTCCTGCTTTCTCTTGTGGGCATTTAGTGCTATAAATTTCCCTCTACACACTGCTTTGAATGCGTCCCAGAGATTCTGGTATGTTGTGTCTTTGTTCTCGTTGGTTTCAAAGAACATCTTTATTTCTGCCTTCATTTCGTTATGTACCCAGTAGTCATTCAGGAGCAGGTTGTTCAGTTTCCATGTAGTTGAGCGGCTTTGAGTGAGATTCTTAATCCTGAGTTCTAGTTTGATTGCACTGTGGTCTGTGAGATAGTTTGTTATAATTTCTGTTATTTTACATTTGCTGAGGAGAGCTTTACTTCCAACTATGTGGTCAATTTTGGAATAGGTGTGGTGTGGTGCTGAAAAAAATGTATATTCTGTTGATTTGGGGTGGAGAGTTCTGTAGATGTCTATTAGGTCCGCTTGGTGCAGAGCTGAGTTCAATTCCTGGGTATCCTTGTTGACTTTCTGTCTCGTTGA
This sequence comes from Homo sapiens, assembly GCF_000001405.40. Taxonomy (NCBI): domain Eukaryota; kingdom Metazoa; phylum Chordata; class Mammalia; order Primates; family Hominidae; genus Homo; species Homo sapiens. Next base: position 86,254,752 of record NC_000004.12, read on the forward strand.
TCTGTCTAATGTTGACAGTGGGGTGTTAAAGTCTCCCATTATTAATGTGTGGGAGTCTAAGTCTCTTTGTAGGTCACTCAGGACTTAGAACATCTTTTTTTAAAGGCTTATAAAAATTGGGGTTTTTGTAAGTATTCTCGGAAATACCAAAACGCTTGCTCTGATCACACTTATTTTTCAACAGAAGATAAGCTAACATCCAAATGCAGTTCCTTTATGAAGATGTAACATAAAAGTGACATCACCAAGGTAACTAATCTGCTGAATCAGAGTAACATATCCTTGGGATTCTATTTTCCAAAGAAAAATAATGATAAAGATATTCTGATTTAATAAAAGAAAAAAAGAAAAAAAAGAAGAGACTAAATTGGAGATGTGGTAGGATCGAGGGTATGGTGGGTAGAGAGTAGTAAAATGGAGAAGCCCTCCTAGCTGAGTTTTGCCTGGGATTTTGCTACTCATCCAGTTTATCAACAGCAGTTCACGGTGGGTTCTAAAATAAACTCACCTGCTCTTTTTTATTGTGCTCTATAGAGTTTTCAGAAATGTATATCCCTGTGTCAATGAATAAAGAGCATGAACGGAATTTGATATGAAGTTTTTCTGTGGGTGACATCTCTCTCTCTGACTCTCACTCTTCTTCATCAATGCACCATGACATTTTAAGACAGGACACTGAGTCAGAGGAAGACATCTCGAGAGGAAGAGCTGCATTCCTCTCTGAAGGCATATATGCTGTCCTGATAGTGTATCTGCTGTTCAGTCTGCCCGTAAGCAGTGCTAGGCTGGGAACTTTGGAGACCACACCATATATCTAACTCAAAGTACAATCTTATTTTGAATGTTAAATGTGGTATCTATATTGAACGTTTTTTTAAAAAATCAAGGTTCTGTTTAACTTTTTTTCAATTGCTAAATTCTAGAAAAGTTTATCAAAAGCAAATTTTATTTTTCTGGGGGATGGGGTGGGAGGGTTCCCTCTGCTTTGCCAAGACCCTAAACATAAACTAAAATTGGCCTCTGAAATAATCCAGCACTACCTTGCTATTTAGTAATGTTATTTGTCTCATCTTAGATATCTGTTTGTCTTAATTTTCACCCCAATAGAATGTAGGTTCCTTAAGAATGGAGAATATGTTTTACCTATTTATTCACAGCATCAAATTGTCCCTGGTGTGTGCTTAGTACCTAAAATATAATTATTCAATTAAAAAATGGAAGAAGGGAAAAAAAGAATAGAGAAAACAAATGGAAAGGAAGGCGAGCAGGTGTCAGACAGGTACAGTATTACTGAATGAAGCAATTACAGGCACCAGACAAGTTTCTACATTTAGGAACCTCATTTATAGCAAGCACACCAGAATCGAGATATTTCTCCATCTTCTCCCACAAGTAATTTTTATTGTATTTTGTACATTATAACATTGTCTGTAGCTTTTGTCTCTACAATCAACCAATCTCATACTTGGCCGAACTAGTGCTTTCATCCCAGTGCATGATGAATGTGTCAGTAGCTTGCTCATCCTCTCCAGAGAATAGTGGAAATATATCCTTAAAATTGGCCTACTCATTTTAATTGCCCACAGTCAAAACCTACAGAGTTATAGCTACAATGAGAAAATTATAGCTATAAAGTTGTTTTATAAAAGTTTCCACTCCTTCAATTATCCTGTTTTAAAATTGACCAAAATTACCAACATTCTCTTTCTGTTTTGCTTATTCTGAGACCTGAGAGTTCCATTAAAATTAGAGAAAAAAAATTTTCAGATCTTCATGGGAATAAGATATATATCTCAAAAAGAGCAAATATTTATTTAGTAAGTACCTAGATTTTTTTCTGAGCAAATAGCCACATTATAGGTAAACTAAAAATCATACTTCTTCTTATTTTTAGTTTTTGTCAGTGATTTGAAACTCAACACACTTCTTTCCAAATATCTGAACTTTATGTATTATACTCCATTTTTTTCTTTTCTTTCTTTCTTTTTTTTTTTTTTTTTTTTTTTTGAGACAGAGTCTCTCTCTGTCGCCCAGGCTGGAGTACAGTGGCGCGATCTCGGCTCACTGCAAGCTCCGCCTCCCGGGTTCACGCCATTCTCCTGCTTCAGCCTCCCGAGTAGCTGGGACTACAGGCGCCCGCCATTGCGCCCGCCATTGCGCCCGTCTAATTTTTTGTATTTTTAGTGGAGACGGGGTTTCACTGTGTTAGCCAGGATGGTCTCGATCTTAACCTCATGATCCGCCCGCCTCGGCCTATACTCCATTTTTAATGGTTGCATTAGGTCTTTTACAACAGATAGCTGGCCATGCTATCTCAATTCCTCTGTCTTTCCTTCAAATATCATTTCTTATTGTGTCATCTTAAAGAAGAAAATAGAGAAGATATAGGACACTAGCATGAATATATCTCCAACCATAAATGACCAACAAGTTGGCATTTTTATTAATCCCCTAATATTAACTTATTTTATTGTATTTTGCTCTCATCCAAACAGAATAGTTGAAAGAAGCAAAAGTCCATTTAATTAAGGTACCAGCTTAGGTTAGGTTGGGTTACGGTAAATTGGTAAATATGATACACTGTAGCTTAATTTGCTAATAAAAAGGATGAATACTGAATCCATGTACCATATCCACTCACAGTGAATTCCCTAGGCAGTCTTCTTGAGTCTAGCAGAATGTCTTAAATGTTGCTAAATCTTCCTTTGGGACTCACGTGATCCATTTATCGCCTCCCTTTTTTCTTCTATTTTTTATCTTCCACTGATTCAACAATAACTTCATACCTGGTTCACAGTCTCCCTCTTCATCACTGCCTTCATGCTCCATGAAATTAGTCCTCACGTGGTTGACCAGTTTGATAATCTTGCCTCACACTCTTTGTCCTCAGTTCTATTTATTACCCACCTCCGCTTGACTTCAGGCATCCACATTTTAGCTTTCTATTACCTAGAACAATTCCATTTTTTAACTCTTAAACTCCAAGTTCAAATTTGTTGAACCACATCCTCTTATATCAGTTCCTCACACACATTCCATGCCCTTTTCCCTTTAATCTCTCCATTTGTTCCCAATTCATCAGTCCATTCCTATTTATTCTCTTTTCTACAACTAATCTAAGTGTCATTCTGAATATACTCTTGCAGACTCCCTTAACACATTCTCCTGATCGATTCATCACACACACAAGGCAAAACTTCAGACCTGGATCAGTTCAGCTGTATATTCATTCTTCTTCTATGCCTAGACTGATAGGACCTACTAGAGAAAAGTCACAATGCTCAATCGTGAAGATGAATGATATGAAAAATTCATGAAAAAAGGATTCCGGCTTCAAGTAAACTCTGAAAATTGGTCTGCAGTCCTGGTCATCTCCTTATTCTTTGTCCCACAGAGTCCACATGAAATCATTGCAGGATCTCTATTGTCATTACCTACCTTATCATTTTTAGCAAATCACCTTAACTCCTTACTTCATAGACGAAAGTCATCATTTGCCTCTCCCCATCACTAGATTGTGTATAACTAACTCAACCTTTCCTTACTCATTTTTTTCCAAGTGGAGGAGCTCGTTCTCCATTTATGTACTATTCTCTCTTCCCCATTTTCCTTGTTCTCAGGTGCCTCCTCCTATAAATTAACATCCTCCTGTCAACTCCTGGGTTTTAAACCCCTTCTATGTTGGTTTACCCCCACTGTATCTATAATTATGTTCAAAATCTTTAGGAATCCATGTCCCCTCTGGATACCACATTGTTTTTTCCTTTTCCTTTCACAATTACACTGGTAGAAAGAATAGTGCATGCTTGCTGTCTTTTCTTCCTCACCATAAATTTATGCCTCTATCCAATGCAATCTGCCCTTTATCCCACTCCAGCCACCAAATCTTTGCTTTTGTCTCAGTGTTGACTCCGAACTTCAAAAAACCCAAATGGAAACTTTCAATTCATATCTTACCTAACCCTTCTGAAAAATATAGACTACTGCATCCTTTTTGATATTATTTATATCTCTCTCCTTTAACCTCATTCAAGTCTTTGCTAAAATGCCAGCTTCTTGGTGAGACTTACCTAACCAGACTGTTACTTAAAATTGCAGCACTGACTCCTGCACTCCCAGTCTCTCTTACATTGCTTTATTATATTTTTATTGTACTTAACATCTTCTAACAAAATGTATAATTTACTTATTTATTTCTGTCTCATTTCGGTAGCATATAAGCTAATTTGCTGTTTTCACTGATTTTTATCATTTTATATAAAGTAATAACAAAAAATGTTTGTCAGAAGAATGGATCTCTTGGTTTCCAGGGCAACAGTCTCTCTGGGCTTTTCTCCTGACTCTTGAGTTTTTCTTTCTCAGTCTCCTTTGCAACTCCTGCTACATATCCCTTAACTTCTAATGTTCCCCAAGTTTCCTTACATAGGCTCTTTCTTCATATTTCTCCCTGAGACATCTCAGCCACTGTCATGATTGAAACTATCTCCTTCATGTTAGCTTCTGAAATATCTATATTTCCATTCCAAATCTTTCTCTTAAATCCCAAATCCATATATCTAATGTCTTCTTAAACATCTACATTTGGAGGTCCCACAGACAACACAAACACAAAATATTCAAACTCTCTTCCAACCTACCATAGCCTTTCACTCACATGATTGTAACCTAGATTTATATTTATATGTCTTCTGTAAAGTACTATTTCTAAGTTAAATAAGATATTTTACCAAACAGCTCTGTATAGAGGTAAAAATGGTACTGTGAATGTGAAAATGAATCTGTGCTTTATGCAGCCAGGAAGCATTCAAACCACATTAAGAGATTTATATTTCCAATAGTGGGAAACTGAGGTATTTATGATAGATCAAAGAAAGCCTTGCTTTCATATCTTAGTGATGCTTTTTCTATAATTTTGAATAATCATTAGGTGATTAGTGACTTGGTACACTGAATTTTCTGTAATAAATATATAAAGATATAATTTTACAACATTACCATCCAAGCCATTTGCATCTACAAATGAAAACCATCAGCTATCTGCCATTATCCAATAAATTTAACCAAGATGATCACAGTTCAGAGATAAACCATACATTTATAATTAAACTATGTTATCTCCAAATGTCAGAGGAAGTGATACATGGGCAAAATCTGCATCATTCTAAATAAAAGTCAAATAAATATTACATATACAATGGAGTTTGGTGAAAATAATACTAAAGTTGAAAACCGACAACCTGGATTCAAATTTCTCTTTTACTACTCATTAACTGTTTGGCTTCAAGTAAGTTAATAATAGCCATTCACTCTTCTAAGAGTTTTGCATTTTACAATTCTCACAATAACCCTATACAACAAGCACTATCATTTTCCCCAGTTTCCAGATGAAGACACTGAGTAGCCTAAAAATAAAGTATTTTACCCAAGATCACTCAGTCTCATTTTGGACCCAGGCTGTTTGATTCTAGAGCTTCTGTGTTCAATGTCATTCTGTTTTGAGGCTTTCCATTTGTAAAATACGAGTTTCATCTCTAAAATAGGGTTTTAATTAAAATAGCACATAAAATATTTTGTAAATTTTAAATCACTATCAAATGTAACATGTGGAATTATTAGTCTAATAAATTGCTAAACTTCCAACAGTGGTTTCTTTCTTTAGGATTTGTACTGCATCACTCTCTAAATAAATTTGAGAATCTCTTTTCTTGCAGTGGATTCTGTGAATTGAATTTCATCTATGAGTCTTAAGAACTGTTCTACGAGGACCTTAAAGATAATATTAAAAGTCCATTGAAGTTCAAGGGAGAGTTCTTAGGCACCCTGGCAAATAATTTCCATAGTAGCTCCCTGTAGAAAAATGTACTACAAATCAAAGCTGTCTGCATTCTCTAACAATCAATGGGTCACTCTTCATATATCTTTCTTAAAAGAAAACACGTGACTGGCTTTCTATAGAAAATAAAATTATAGGGAAGTCAGATTTTAATACCATTGAACAAAGACAGTTAGTCCTATAAGAAATATTTTATCCAAAATTTCAGTCCACTATAATATGAATTATAGTTACATTCTTTCATTTATTCATTCATTTATTCAACTAACTTTACTAAGTATTTACTATGCAAGGCATTGCATTATATGCTGTGGATGCAATGAAGAGATAAACATCATTATTGTCCTCAGAGGGTTTACTGTCCAGTGGGGATAATTTTTTACTAAAAAAGTACAATACAACATAATAAGAAAAGTTTAGTGTCCTATAAGAGGACAAAGGAGAAGCAATTAACCTTTGAGATGTTTGACACATATTTCAATGGCTATGCTAATCCATTTTTCATGACACAGAAAATACAGCATCTTTGTAATGTTTTAGCGCTTTGCAAACTAAATATTAAGATATCAGCTCATTCCAAGGCCTACCTTAATACAGAAGTAGATCCAGCAACTTGTCCTTCACAATAATAATAGTTTCAATAATAATTCATCACGTAATTGTTGACCACCTCTTTGGATGATACTGTTGAATCACTTTGACAATTTAAAATCATTTGCTGGTGCAAAGTGGAATATGGGTTTTCTTTTTTGTAACAGGAGCTAAATTTGTCTGTAGATATGCCAAACCCTACCCAAGTTAGGAACTTTAACTGTCACGTGCCTTTTTAAACTTTTCTCTAGTTCTGTTTGATCCAACAAATCCCTAATTAGAAGCATAATGTGTGTGGGTAAAGGGTTAACAAAATATTTTCCCTTTCTCCCTTAGAATCTGATCTTTAATTCACTTTCTAGATCTATTCCCTTGACAACCTGATAAAGGAAGTATGTCAAATATGCTAATAGGCAGGATTGCTTGGGGTAAAAATAAACTGATTGGCTAATTGTATGTGGAGTGAGAAAAATTATAAATAAATGATAAATACCTGATAGGGATACTATAGCTTTAGACTTTTGTGACTGGACATGCCTTTTTCAGAGACCACAGAAGCCCTGCCTATGGAGTTGTTACAAAAGATACTGGCTCCTGTGGGACATGTGGTTTTTAAACCAGGGGAATTTTCACAGCTGCTCTGAGAATCATTCTTTCATAGCAAAGAGAAAGCAAAGAGTATAGCTCTTGTGCTGCAGCAAAGACTTCACCATGCACTGCCGTGAGGGCTAGTTCCACAGAAGAGTAATAACTGACATTGCCCTGCTGGGCAACTAAGGTTCTTGTCCCATATGCTTCTAAGCAAATTTGATGCCATGTGTAATTTATGATAATCTTGTGAGTCTAATTATTTAATATAACTGCTATGATTTGTTGCGCTATGATTTGTTATGAATTGCTATGAATGTGTCCTCCAAAGTTCCTGTGTTGGAAACTTAATTTTCAATGCAACAGTGTTGAGAAGTGGGACTTTTGAGAGGTGGGACTTTTAAGAGGTGATTAGGTCACTATAGCGGGAGTGGGTTAGCTATCACAGGAGTGGGTTTCCTCCCCCTCCCCTCTCTCATGCACATACAATCTTTTGCCCTTTTGCCTTCAGCCACAGGATGACACAAAAAGTAAGCTCTCACCAGATATGGGTCCCTCGACCTCGGATTTCCCAGGCTCCAGTACTATAAAAAATAAATCGCTGTTCTTTATAAAATACCCAGTTTCCAGTACCCTGTTGTAGCCGCATAAAGCAGACTAAGAACCTAAAAAGACCCCCTGGCCCCCACCTTCAGAGTTTAGGGCAAAGTAATGGCAGATAATAGAATAATACATAAGTAATTAATAAGCATGTCAGGAGGTTTCTGGTTGCCTTTTTAACACGCCTCATGACTAGGCTCCTAGTGTGTACTGAACCTAGTACGATAACCATATGCTTGACATATAGTAGAACTGAAGAATGTTTTGTTGAATAAATTAAGCAATTAATTAATTAATGAGTGAATGAATGAATGATTCTAACCAATACAGTGAAAAAAGGAAGCTAGAGCTTCAGCTCTCAAGTCTCATTTGATCCTAATCCAGCTATTCAGTTGCCCCAGCTCTGCCCTATGCTTGATTCCGAAGCAAGTTTCTTGATTCTCTGCCTAACATCTTGTGCTGGCTAACTTCCACTTGCACCTCCAGATCTCCTCTCCAACTTTTCTCCAGTCTACTCTGTGTCCAGGAGGCTGGGCAGCATGGAACTTATCAACAGACTACCTTGCCCTCCAGCTTCCTGTCGTACCAACAAAGGCCACAATAAGTTATTGGATGGACAGTAGGACAGGAGATGAAGTATTTACTCCTCCAGCTCCCTACCTGTGTGGTGAATCAGGGGCTGCAAAGGTCACAGCTTTTGTGATATGACCCTCTCCACACTAACTATCATCTCCAGGTTTCAGGAGTCACTGTCTGTCACCATGTCAGGTGTATGAGTGGTGGTAACAGCTTCTTGTTGTTACTTTCCTCAGGAGATCACATTGTCCCTTGTTACTTCTCTATATCCTGTCCACATGTTTAAATTAGTTCTTTTATTAGATATTCCTGAAATTGCCAAATGTAAGCATGATGTTTCTTTAAGATCCTCAACTGGAATACCTTTTCTTTAGCTATTTTTCAAATCTTTTGCAATATATTTTCCTGCTACTAATGAGTCTACTTGGTTCAACCACCAGCCATGACCCACCATTGGTGCTCCTGTTTCTCCTAGAAGTATGATGATAAATACTATTTTTCCTGGTCTAATCTAGCTGGAATCGCCTTTAACCCTTGGTGTTTCCTCATTGCCCTCCCTCCAACAAGACCTTGCTTTACTTTCCCTGGTCCAAACTAACTGTCCCTCCCTTATAGCCACTGCCACTTATATACTGGCATGACAAATAGGGATTAATTTTTGTTTTGGAGACATAAGCAGGATATAGTTGAAAGAACAAAGCCTTTAAGTCTGGCTTGATGAGGGTTTGAATTTCAATTTGACCACTTTACTGGTGCCTGAGTAAGTTGACAAAACTCTCTGAGCCTCTGTTTCTTCTGCAAATTAGGAAGAACAAGACCTATCTTTACCTGTGAGGTTTTTTGATAGACACTGAAAATATGCATTGATATTTGGCACACAATATGTGCTGAAAAAATAGTGGTAGACTATATTATTATTGATAACATCATTGTAACCCAAACACATTCCAACTAAGGAATCATTTCCAAAGGTCCATTCAGCTAAATAGAGAGGCATTAAAATTCTCTTTAGCTGCAAAAATCTCTCATTGCTAATTTCTCTCATATGAATTCACAATAACAAATTATCACCATTATTGGTTATAGTTGTTGCTTAAATAGAAAATATTTTCTTGTTTCTAGTTACTGCGAATATAAAGAGCAGAAAAGTTATATGTTCCAGAATTTTATTATTTTATTTCTTGCTTGTATTAAAATGTGTTTTAATTTTGAAATTTGAAGTTAACAAGAAAATGTTATATTAATTCCATTCTTTCCCCTATCAATGCAACATACTATGACAGCCTTCATTGTGTATAATTTTCCTTTAACATTAAAGTTATTTTTTGTAAAGTTGCCAAGATATCTGGCACAGTTGCCATTCCAAATTAAGAATATGGTCTTTCAAAGTGCAAACATTCACAGAGTTAAAAAAACCTTCCAAGGCAAATGAATTTCACACCACCCAAGAACAAGAAGAGACATGATACTTCTGTTTAACTTCTCAGCATGCATTAGACAAATCTTTAAATAGCCCCACTAACTGAATCAGCCTTATAGGCTGAATAGCTGGTAGGTTGTGAGTTGCAATTTGTAAGGCTGCCAGAAAAGACTTCTTAAGTCTTCTCCCTTTCTAGTCCCCCACAATGAAGTCTGAAGCTCCTTTGATAATAATGAAGCCTGTCATCTTCTAATTAGAAATAAGTTTAAAATGCACAAAGTTATTAAACTTAATTTACAGTGAGATTTGTTTTTGTTTTTTCCTGATTCTGATAAAGGACTATGCCAGGGAGGAAACTGAATGGTTGAGAAAGAAAAGACGGGCAACCCTGAAGACAAACATTGTCAAATTCACATTTGTGCCTAAGACTAACCTTGCACCCATCTCTTCATGATTTAAACAGAATTCATTAATATGTTTCTTTCTGCTAAATTATGTCCCCTTCTCTAGGTTTTTGATGGCCCTGGACTTTTTTTTTTTTTTTTTTTTTTGTGGTGGGGTCTCACTCTGTCACCCAGGTGGAGTGCAGTGGAGCCATCTCAGCTCACTGCAACCTCCGCCTCCCGGGTTCAAGCAATTCACCTGCCTCAGCCTCCAAGTAGCTGGGATTACAGGTGTGTGCTACGACACCCAGCTAATTTTTGTATTTTTGGTAGAGACAGGGTTTCACCATGTTGGCCAGGATGGTCTCGATCTCTTGACCTCGTGACGTACCTGCCTCGGCCTCCCAATGACCCTGGAATTTATATGGGGATCCTGAGCCTGTTCAGAAGCATTCCTTTGCCCAACAGCCTTAAAAAGTATTATGATATGGGCCGGACACAGTGGCTTATGCTTGTAATCCCAGCACTTTGGGAGGCAGGTGTATCACTTGAGGTCAGGAGTTTGAGACCAGCCTGATCAACATGGCAAAACCCCATCTCTACTAAAAATACAAAATTTAGCCTGGCATGGTGGCAGGCACCTGCAATCCCAGCTACTCAGGAGGCTGAGGCAGGAAAATCGCTTAAACCTGGGAGGCGGAGGTTGCAGTGAGCCATGATCATGCCACTGCACTCCAGCTGGGGTGACAGAGCAAGTCTCCATCTCAAAAAAAAAAAAAAAGTATTATGATATGGATTCACTATTAAACCCCAAAGTGGCCTGCCAAGTTATGGAATCTGTTTGAGTAACCATTTATATAACTTGAAGTGCAATGGCTTTGGTGAAAGAGAAAGGAAAGGGTTTTTCATTTTGCTTTGTTTCGGGCAGTAAGAGAAGAGAAAGAGATGTAAAGGATAGGAAAATGCTTAGGGTCCCATTTAACCCCTCAGGATATTTGAAGCACAAATCGAGAGCCACATTAAGTGTAGAAGCTGGAGAATCTACTTTTAATAAGTTTTTTTCTGAAGTCCTGCCCACAAGCAGTGCTATTTCAATGTCAAAGTGACAGCATGCCACCCATTGTTGAGTTGGGGTTCATTACCGCTTCTGCATGAATCCTAGGCCTGCTCTGACCTTGAGGATTAACGACTTTTCCAAGCAGCAAGGAAAAATACCTTTAACACAGACATCAGCATTTTCGCATCTAACAATATAGTTGCCTCATAAACAGAGATATGGGTATGGGAAAGGTGGAATCAAAAAGGAAGAACTGGCAGAAATGTGGTAAACTTGTTTGGCAGATAAATTCAAAAGAACATGTGACGAACTTTGTGAAATTTCCCTGAGGTGCTCACTAGGTGTAAGAAACAACAGAGGAAGAGAGGAGGAATATCTGGTAAATGGAGGCTGGAGTTCAGTTTCACCAGGTTAAACTCCTGTGAGCTCCCAAGATATGTGAAATAAGCCAATCACAGTAAGATTTGGTTTTTCTGGAGTCAAAAGGCCTTGGTTTCAAATACTTGCCTACTACTTAATAGCTGTATGACCTCGGCATACAGACAGTTATTCAACAATCAGTACTTCCTTTTCCTCATCTGTATTAATAGTCTCTACCTCACAGTATTGCTGTGAGGTTTGAAGGGTTAATGCATGCAAAACAGAGTACTAACTGGCAATAATATTTGAGTGTTATAATTTGGTTCCATTTGTACAAACAGGCTGGGATGTCAGCATCCTCTAAGCCAAATAGATATTTCCTACTTTCTCTACCACTACAAGTCAATTAGAGTAGCAATTGGTACACATCATAAAAATATCCATTCAAATCATGTAAAAATAAATAAATAACAGAAGAAACTTATTTGATACTTGATTGAGAAGTATGCATCAATAATATCTCAGTGAATCATAAATGAACCAGAATTTTGAGAAGCTTTATTATGTTTGCAACTCTGAAATTCAGTTAATCCTCTTAAGCTTTGAATTTATTACTAAATCTACATCTATATAACCATCTAAACAACCAGACCTAGGCAGTATAAGATATTAAAAATATAATAACACATCAAGTAGTGTTATATAATATTATATAATATTTTCTGCAAAATTACATTTTATTATATATAGATATGTATTTATGTATTTTCTTTTGGTGGTATGGATGTGTATTGGTGGTATAGATATGTATTTATGTATTTTCTTTTAAATTGGAGTCCAGATTTATTTCAGGAGCCAAGCTGTATGAATCATTTTGGTCTCCAGCACAAGCTTCTATGCTGACTGATTAGATGAAACTAATTAACAGGTGTGTTATTCAAATGTAAATGACATGCAATCATTTGAAAATGAATTAATGGCTACAAAATAAATACTGTCCTGAACAGAAAAGTTCACAGAAGTTATTATTTTAGCATAGATTTCCCACAAATATTTCCATTTGATTATGGAAAAATAAAATTGCCTTCCTTCAGGTTTGTAAATAGCCAAAATAAAGTTTCTAACAAAGCGTCAGAATCAAAAGCCACGTAAATGTAATTATTTCTATTTATCCTTGTCCTCCTAAGCAGTAACTCCAGCTGTGCCAAGGCTTTCATGCTCTGTGTACTCCTGTAAGCTACTCTGCCCCCTCAAGTACAAGATCAGCCACTTGGAGGTCTAGAAATACTACTTGCTTTGAGACCTACAGGACCAAATCCCTCTGCCCCAAATCCTCCATTGGCTTCTCACCCTGAGTAAAAGGCAAATTGTTCACAATGGTCTATAACATCTTAAATGATCTGTTCCCTGCCTCTCCTGGCCTCATCTGCTGCCATTCTCCTTATCCCCAGTTCATTTATGTTGACCTCTTTGCAGTTCCTCCAATAAGTCAAACACACACCCGTTTCATGATTTTTGCACTTGCTTTTCACTCTGACTGGAACTCTTTCTCCTAGAAGCTCACATGACTGGTACCCCACTTTCATCAAACTTCTGGTCAAACAACACCTTATTAAAGTGGCCTTCCATGATCTCACTTAAAAAAAAATTAGCAAAACCTATCTCTACCTTCAGCACTCTCCCTTCCTCTTCTGTTTTTATATTTATCCATAGACATTGTTAACATCTAACAAAGTAAAGCATATCTACTTATTCATTACTTGGCTCGCTCTATTACAATGTAAATTATTTGGAAGCAAGTCTCTCTATTTTCTTTTTAGTGTTTTCCTAACACCTAGGCCAGTGGCTGGAACACAGGATGTGCTCAGGAAATGTTTACTGAAAGTTATGCATTGGATCAATAACACAGCCTATGTGAAACTATAATGGACATGTGTGTACATACATACACACACAGAGAGACACAAATTTCTCCCATCACCTACCTTTTGTCATCTCTTTAAATAGCCACATTATCTACCAAGTTGCTGAAGCAGAAAATTTACATGTGATCCTTGGTTCCTGTCTTCCCCCATACTCCACATAGGATTCTTCAGCAGGTCATGTCCACTCTACCACAAAGATACACACCATCTTCTCACCATCTTTACTGTGACATCTTGATTCCAACCTTTATCATCTTTCACCTGAATTCTTGCAAGAGGCTCCTAGTTGCTTTCTATCTCAGTCTTAATGTCCACACAGCAACCAAATGACAATTCTAAACCATAAATCAGAGCATATCACTTCCCTGCCTCCCTGGTTTCCTGCTGCAACTGGAATAAAACCTAAAGCCTTTATCACAGGCTCTGCCTTGATGGTGTTTCAACTGCCCCTCAGGTCTCATGCCCCTCGGTCCTCTACTGTTCACTCTACTTCTCTCACACTGCCCTTCTTTCTCTCTCTTGAACATGCAAAACTCATCTCCACCTAGGTTCATTTGCATTTCATATGATTTCATTTTCAAATACTCTTTCCCCAGATTTTCATATGGCTGCCTTCTCACCATTCAAGTCTTAACTGAAATGTGGTTTCCTCCCAGAGGTCTTCCTTGACAGTTCTAACTAAAATTACTGGCCCAGTCTTGTCACTTTCTTGTATATTATCCCATTTTTAAATGCATCATAGCATGTATCAGTATGTGAATGAATGAATAAGTGAATGAATAAATTACAAAAATTGTCTCCTCCACTCTCTCAGCAGTAAAATATATACTTCTTGAGAAACGTGACTACTTCTGTGTTGTTCTCCATTACATTCCTGGTGTCTAGAATAGTGCCCAGTACATGGTATTACATATACGGTAATGATTTGTTGGCTGACTTCATAATGTCTACTAACATTTTTTGAATGACTAAAATGCACCTTTCTGGGCTCAAAATATTGAGGCTATATGAAGGTGAAAGTAATAAATACCAGTACCATGAGATAAAAAGATAAGTAAATAAACGATTGCCTGCAATGTGATATTCTCAGTGTTCCTCTCCACACTTCATAGACACAAACTACATAAATTATTTGAACCCACTAGTCTATTAGAATGAGCCATTAGGCTGTGTAGTGAGTACATTGCCCTGTCATTATGACATATGCCTAAACTCCTTAATGTTTTTGGTTTCTGTCATTTTGATAAATTCAAATTTCTCTTTACAAGACTCACTGCTTCAGATCTCTTCTTCCAGTTAATTCAAATTGCATCTTCTAAAATCTTCCCTTTTTATCACCATGACTACCTCACCACACTCCTTAAGTTCTTCCTCTGGCTTCCTAAGTCTTAATAATTCAATTCAGAAAGTGCTTGAGTGCCTACCAGAATGCACAGTCTGTACATCTTGTCTCAGCCCTCAAGGCCCTGCATCTTTACACCTACTCTCTCGCCTCTATCCAGCCTCCTTCATTTATTAATTCACATTATTTTTTCCTCCCTGTCTCTACTCCCACTTGGAGAGCATTTCCACTTCAAATACTGCAGCACTCTATTCCTACCTGCTCTGGCAAACACAAATGTAGCCCATTTAAAAATGATTTTCTAGATAACAAATCACAGATTATAAGAAAGCAATTAAACCTCATCCTAATACAAAATTGCTTGTCACTATGACAACAAATTCAATATTTGGTGTCACTCCTTAAGAAAAATTATAATAGCAAGGTTCCTGTATAACAGTAATAAAGATACTTAGTAAAAAAGTTTTGATTAAAAGACATTTGTGCAGTGAGCAAGCATTTTATCCCTCAGACTGTTTTCCTGTGAATTGTATATTATAGTCCAAAAATTCTGAAAGGTGTTTTGAAGATGTTACATCTATTTATAACAAAAATTCTCCATTTTAAATAAAAAATACAAATATTATGATTAAATATCTTAAATTTTTCAAGAAACATTTTTCAAAAACTTTAAAGTATTTTAAAAGCATTACACAATTTAACTTATTCCAGCATCCATTTAAGCACAGAAATTGAATGCAAAATTCTATTATGTTGTAATTCAAACCGGAAATTTGGGATCTTACTGTTCAAAAGTTGCTCAGCATTCTAACACATGAAATAAAGAGATTAGTTTGACTTATAAGACTCAACATTTTAGTATATTTCTTGGGAGGTAATTTTCGTTTACTCTTTACCTAAAACAGGAAACAGTGAAGAAATATGAGCAATGAATGAAAAAAAATGTGTGCTATTTTTTTTAATTTCCTTCCCAAGTACAAAACAAAGAGAAAAAATGAATAAGTACTATATCTAAATGTGGAGAACACTGTTGTAAATTTTACAGTCTCAATCAAAATTTTAGTAAGGCAAAGCGCTATCATAGTCTAATGTAACTAGAATTTTTTAATTCAAGTAAAATTGACATAAAGTGAAACACACAGGCCTTAAGTCATGATTTCTGATATCTACATACACCCTGTAACCACAACCCCAATAAAAATGTAGAATATCCCAGATGTTAACCCAGAAAATTCCCAAATATCCATTCTAGGCCATCCCCACACCTCCTAAGCAACCACTATTCTGAATTTTATCACCATAGATTAGTTTTACCTGTTCTTGCATTTCATAAAATGGAATCATGCCATGAGTACTTTTTTGTGCCTGGCTGATTTTTCTCAGAATGATGTTTTTGAGATTCATGCATGTTGCAGATCGCATTAATAGTTGATGAAATATTTTTTATTGTTAGTATTTCTCTAAATGAATATACTATAGTTTATTCACTTCTTGTTGAAATTTGGGGTTATTTTCAGTTCGGAAAAATTATAAATAAAGCTGCTATAAACATTTACATACAAATCTTTTTGTGGACATATACTTTCATTTCTCTTGGATCATAAGTAGTTAGGAGTAAAATTCCTGGAGCAGAGGTAGGTAAATGTTAATTTAATAATAAACTACCAAACTGCTTTTCCAAGAGGTTGTACCATTTTATCCTCCTCTTGGCAGTATTTGAGAGCTCCAGTTGCTCCATGTCATCACCAACATTTAATATCGTCATTTTTTTCATTTTAGACATTCTAGTGTGTGTGATATGGTATTTCATTGTGGTTTTAATTTGCATTTCTCTGATGACTAATAATGTTGGTCCCTTTTTGAGTGCATATTGGCCATTTCTATATCTTCCTTTGTTAAGTATCTCTTTAAGTCCTTTGCCCCATTTCTTCAACTGGTTTGTTTGTCATTATTGATTCAGAAATATTTTATTTTCTATCAGCAAATTCAGTTTTTTTATTTTAAGAAAACTTTAATAATTTTTTCCACTTTTATTTTAGATTCAGAGGGTACATATGGAGGTTTGTTACCTGGGTATATTCTGTGATGCTAAGGTTTGGGGTACAAATGATCCTGTGACCCAGGTAGTGAGCATGATGCCTGTATTAGTCCACTCTCACGCTGCTAATAAAGACATACCCTAAACTGGGTGATTTATTATGTAAGGGAAAGAGGTTTACTGACTCAGTTCCACAGGGCTTGGGAGGCCTCAGGAATCTTACAATTATGGCAGAAGGGGAAGCAAACACATCCTTCTTCAAATGGCAGCAGCAAAGAGAAGTTCCAAGCAAAAGGGGGGAAAAGCCCCTATAAAAACATCAAATCTCATGAGAACTCACTCACTATCATAGGAACAGCAGCATGGGGGTCACTGCCCTCCATGATTCAACTACCTCCCACTGGGTCCCTCCCATGACATGTGGGGATTATGAGAACTACAATTTAAGATGAGATTAGGGTGAAGACACAGCCAAACCATATCAGTACCCAACAGCTAATTTTTCAACCCTTGCCCCCTTCTCTCCCCCTCCCACTTCTAGTAGTGTCCAGTGTCTATTGTGGCCATCTTTATGTCCTTCAGTACCTAATGTTTAGCTCCCACTTTTAAGTGAGTACATGCGGTATTTGGTTTTCTGCTCCTGCATTGATTCACTTAGGATAATGGCCTCCAGTTGCATCCATGTTGCTGCAAAGGACATGATTTCATTCTTTTTTATGACTGCATAGTAGCTTAGGAATATTTTTAACGTATTCTGAAAACAAGTCCTTTGTCAAATTCTGTATTGTGTGTACCTTCTCCCAGCATGTGGCTTGCCTTTGCATCTTTCCAGCACTATTTCTTAATGAGCAGAACCCTTAAATGTTGATGAAGACTGATTTACTATATTTTTCTCCTTTATAATTAATTCCTCTCTAAAAAGTTTATGCCTATCTCAAGGTAAAAAATATATATTATTTTTTCTAAATGTTTTATGATTTTAGATTATATGTTTAAGTCTATGATCCATCTCAAATTAACTTTTATATGGTATAAAGTAGAGGTTAAGGTTTTTTCATACATTTATACTCAGTTTTAAGTGAAAGATTTTTGCCGAGAAACATAAAAACACTAGATATCTAAGATCAGCACTTCAAAATCAATTCTTTTCATTTACACTTTGCCAGCCTTTTTATTGTCATTGTTGTTGCTTAATGTAACTCTTGTCTGTATAAGAATAACCCAAACAGAAGTGGGCTAAAAATGGTTCATAGGTCTAGGCAGGGCAAATCACATGACATTTGCCTGTAACCAAATTTCACCTTTTCCAGGAGATTTGCTGGTAGCCCAAGCCATAGGAGGTCTCATAGGAAGATCTCACACATCCTGGAGTCTGCATGCATGATGAGCTAATTACATCATCTGCTGCTCTTATAAAATGCACTAGGCTAGGCAAATAATTTGATCTTCTATCCAGACATCCACATTAGCAGTCATCTGCAAATATACAGCTGCCCATTCTGCATGGCAAGTCTATGGCACGGATACCAGCCTTCTTTTTAATAAATATACCACAATGCTGTTTTGCAGCACTTTTTAAAATGCTACAAAATAAAATAAGGAAAAACTAAGGTGACAACATTTAATTATGGAATCTCACTATTTTACCATTTTTTTGAAATCTGCAATTTCTTTTTAATATAGGGTACATACACATCAGCATTCTTGCTTCAAGAAAATCACAAAGTCTAACGTAATAAAAAGAAAATAAAGGCTATGTGAGAGAAGAATTTTATCTTGCTCAAAGCAAAAGCCTAACAAAAGAAAGGCAATTATTCTGACCAGTTAACAAAGCCAAGAGAAAAGCCACACCTGTTAGCTAAATCCAAAAATCCTCAAAATGGTTCATACCCCCTCCTTCTCTAAAATCCTATAAATAAAATCAACTGGGAAATAATAGTAAACATGTTTCATTTTAGCATGGATATGAACTAGCTCATGGCCTCACAGAAGTCAAAAAGGTATTTTAGGAGAAACCAGTACAAAATTTTTGTACTGGTGCCTATTATCTCCAGAGAATATACTTACCACCAAGAGCCATTCAGTCTAACTTACCGTAATACATAAAACGGCCTGGTAGCATCTAGGTCTGCTTTTTTATTCCACTTCTCTACTTATCAAACAGCCTTACTGATTAAATTCAATGAGCAGTAGGCACAATTTTTGATTTGTCTACTGTGCCATTGTTTTTCATTAATACCCCTCCCTCATACTCCTTTCTATTAAAATAACTTAGGGGGTAAAGCATTGGTGCTTTTCCTTATAGTTGTGAGTTGCAATTTATGTTCAAGAGGCTTTGTGTCTTACATATTAAAGAGAAGAACATTAGAAAACTTTAGCATTCTAAGCATGATGAATCTCTAAGTTTCAAATTAGAAAAGTCAGCATTTAGAGAGCTACTAGTTTCACTGATTTTTATCAAAATGTGATATTCTTATCTTGAATCAATACTATGAAAATTCTTGTTTGAAAAATAGTTCACTTAAAATGGATTTTATTGATTTAGCTATTAAAGGGTAAAATACATTTCACAATAATTATAAGTTAGAAAAGTAAGGGGAAAACACTAGTCTTCATAAAACTGAATTTGTCTTAAGCTGAAAATGTTTAAGTTATAATAATCTGAGTTTTAGCTGGAGATAAATCTATTAATATCTCCCAAGATTGTCATATAAATTAGACTTTCTGAGTAATAAGATATTAATGTCATATGAAAATACTTTTACCTTTACCATACTGGATTTTGATACAACATTATTCTAAAGTATTTCAGAATAAGGAGCTAATTTATCATTTGTGTGAGTTTTTTTCCAGGAAATCCAAATATCTGGTTCAAAGTGATATAGACAAAGAAATAAAATTCAGCAACCAGAAGTAATTTAAAGTAATTCTAATTCCTAGGTGCATCTCTTGGAAAATGTTAAAAGAGATCTAATGTATAATCTTTTTTTTTCCTATTCCAATTGATTGCCAATTTTCCCCACACCTCAGCTTTCTCGCCTCTCACTTTCACCCCTCTCCCCTAAACCTCCTTTCCTATCTTGCTTTTCTCTTGACGGGACTTTACTTTCTTTTCCCTCTTGCTTTATATCCTCTGCTATTCTCTTTTTTTCTCAAGACAAAATCTCCATGCATTTATCCATCCTTAATTCTATTGTTCAGCCTCTAAAGATGATGCCAATCTGCATGGTAAACTGATTAGGCAGAGGAACAGAGGAAAACCTGTCTCCTCACACATTAATAATTTCTGTCCCTGTTACACACATATCACCTCTCTTCAAGCAGTCTCAAGATATTTTAAGGTACTCATAATTACAGTCACCTCACAGCCAACAGTTACCTGTCAATCAAACTTGACAGAAAGACTGAGATTAAGCAATTTTCTCAATTAAATGGAAGATAAGAAGGAATTTGGCTTAGGGCTCTGACTCCCAAATTAAAATATTTTCCCAGTGAAAACAAAGCCTCTCTAAGGCTTTACATATACAAGCACACTTACTCATCTTCAGAACCCCATTCACCAGGATGAATAAACTGTTGTCACTACCAAAATAAAGGATCTTGATTAAAATAAAGAAAATTAAACCTGTGACAATGACTTTGTGCAGTCATTAAATGTGTAACAATTTATTCACAGGATAAATATGCAATTCTGATCATGATGGGCTCTTAAAAGAATTCTTCCAATTATATTTTATACTGCCTAATAAATAAGCAAAAATGTGAAAAACATTATCTCAACATCTATTTAGGAAATAAGATTGTAGCTAATGTTGTGTAAAATGCAAGGTCACTAGATGTTTCCTTGCTACAATGTAAAGAAGATCTCAACTCAAAATAACCTATATAATTTTTCAGATTAAAGTGAAAATTGTGATAAGGAAATGATGTAGTCCACTTCTAGCGAATGACCCCAAATACTTAATTCTACATGGCTCATACCAGGAATATTAACATAAAATCATATTTTATCAACGTAGAAGACCCAAAAGACAGCAAATATCAGAGAAAATTTCACCAGCCTATGAAAAATGAGTGTAGTGTTACATCTGCCCCAGCCTAAAGATCCTAAAGTCAAATATGATTTTATTAGTTTGGTGCAAACATAATTGTGGTTTTTGCTACTACTTTTCATGGCCAAAAAAAACACACAATTACTTTTGCTCCAACCTACTACCACTAGAAAATATGTATGAAAATAGAAGCATACAACCAATAATATGTGTTCTAGTTTCCAAAGTGTAAAAATATATCCATTTTGAGTTTTAGTTAAAAAACCACCTCTTTCAGGAAGCTTCCCATGATAAGGCTAAAACATTGTTCCATCTTATTTAATCTCAATGTTTCTAGCACTTTATTTATATTTGATTTGGTATTTAAATATTGCTGGCAGTCAATGCCTATTTTACTTCTTTAAAGTCATACAAATCTATAAGGCTGTACATGAATAGCAGCCATGTCTCCCTAAACTTTGTAAATTCTTATATTAATACTAGAATCCACAAGTTGTTTAATAAGTATTGTAACATTGAAAACATACTTTTGATCTTCACTGTGCTGAAACATTTTTAACACTAACTCTGAAAACTGTAAATATTTCCAGCAGAAATTTTGTGTCCTATATTGTTAGTTTTTTGTTTCTATTTTGTTGGGTTTATATTTAATTCATATTTATATTGTTTCCTTTCTCCATGAATCAGTGCTCTTCTACTTCCTCAAGATTATCACACAATGTGTCTATATTTTCCTAGTACCTATCTTTACTCTCATGGCCCCTGACCACTAGCTGTTTCAAATTAATTTCACTCTTTTCAAACCTTATGCCCTTTCCTACTAACTTTCATTTCTCAGAAAACCCTTCCATCTCATCACTCACAGAGAAAATAGAATCCATCTGTACTAGCCCGCCATATCTGTAGTTTAAGCTGCTGTAACAAAGAGAACCCAATGTTTAAAAAAAAGATACATGCTTGCTTGCTTCTGACAGAACAGTGCAAAGATAGATAAGCAGTCACTGGGAAGATTATCAAAATTAGATACATTTCTAGCTACCTGTTTGGACAGTCTAAAAAATCACAAGTCAACCTTGACTCCTCTTTCTCCTTCCTTGCCCACCCATCAACACGTTAATCATTAATTATCAGTATCTCCTCTGCATGGCTAAAGATAACATGTACAGTGGTTTTTACTGATTGAAGCACTTCATGTGTATTGACTCCTTTATTCCTCATAACAATGCTGAGTGTCTGGTTCTATCATTATCTGGTTCTATCATTGTCTGGTTCTATCATTATCACCAATTTAGAAAAGAGATACTGAAGCCCAGAAAGGCTAATAAACAGCCCTGCATCACAATGCTAGTTAAGTTGCAGCACCAGGATTTGGACCCAAAGTCTGTCTATGAGTCTATGTATAGTCTTAACCCTTAACCATTGCTATAAACTGCTTCTTTATCCATAACTTCAACATCTCTGGAAGTTGCTCACATCTCACCAATAGAGTTGAGACCATATCATCTCTTCCCTGTGTGAAGAGTGTCCTCTTACTTGTCTCTGAGCCTCTTCTCTCTCCTCTCCAACCAGAAATATGTTGGATCCTGCTCATACCAGCTCTCTAGCACCAATTGTGACCATCTTTTTTTTTTTTTTAGACAAAGTCTGGCTCTGTCGCCAGGCTGGAGTGCAGTGGTGCAATCTTGGCTCACAGCAACCTCCGACTCCCTGGTTGAAGCAAAAAGTGCAAAAAGTGTCTACAAAAGCATTTAATTTTGCCTTTTGCTCCCTGCTGCCTAATGGCTTCTCTCCTACTTCCCTATTACCCACTGGGGGGAAGAAAAAGGAAATAAGGGTTTATAGACATCATCTGTGGCATATCCTGGGAAAGAAACTGAGTTCTTTTTATTTTTATGATTTCTAATATATTAATGTTAAAATTAAAATCCAGGGCTCCAGTGTTCCATGTTAGCTCTTAGCAGTGATAATCTAATAAAATAATTTAAAAGCTAATATAACAAGCTTAAATTTGATGCTTGGATTACTTTTTAAAGTGCCTAAGTATTGAGATAAAAACTAATGCTTATGTGACTAGATGGTTAAGCAGACAGTAACTTTTTTTAAGTGTTAAGTTATATTTGCAAGCAAAGTTACACAGAGTAAGATGCTTAATAACCAGTGTTACTTGTTTCTAGTTGATAAATCTAAAAGCATTGCCAGGATGGTGGCACATCAAACATTGGCTTATTATGAGTATGTAATTGTATTATTTTCCTACCTTTAGCCACATCTCCACTATCAACCATCTAAATTTAATTTTGTTAACAAACGGTTTACCAAACATTAACAATCTATGCTATCTGTTGAAGGCTTGGAGTAGATGTTACCATTTATTTCAAAGAAAAAACAAGCACACACAAACATGGAATACTACTCCTAAGGATGCAAAAAATTAAGGAGAAATTTTAGATATATATCACAAAGTATAACATCATGATGTTTTTAAATATGTACCTCAGTTATAAGTAAAACATACAAAAGAGGATGGGCTTACACAGGGACAATTGCTAAAGGGTTTTCTATAACAATACTTTGTCTACATCACTATTTTGGCATGTTTTACTCATATCAAAAGACAGACGTACAATCTTAAATATCCAAGATTGTTTCACATAAAACCTAGGCTAATAGCCAAATTGGTCTGAAGTTCTTACTAACAAATGTAGCTTTCAAAAACAACAAAAGAAATGGCCTGGATACCCATCAAGTAGACAGAATTTATTCTAATTCACTAACTCCCTAGTGTCCTAGTACATTTTGTATTAGAATAAGGATTGCCTTTGGCTATGGAGTCTACTCCAAAATATGAACATAGTGGAGCAATCATCTTCCACTTAGCTTATTATACATCACAGGGAACGTTAGTTATGTGTAGTTTAAGGAAATATGTTCTGAATCACAGTAAGTGACTGAAAGGCAAAAGGAGTTATGTCTAGTTCAGGGATCTATATGAGTTGAAGGTTCTGAAATACAGCAAAACCCGCTAGTAAAAAAAATGAATAAAATTTACTAAATATTGGAAGTGTTAAATCAACTGAAGTTTCAAACAGAAGCATTAACCTAGCAATTTTTTAAAAACTAAAAATAAATTACTAAAAAATAAACATATAGTCACCTTAACTGAGTGATCAATGTTAACATCACTAGTAATATGACATATCAATGTTATGTACTCCCTGATAGAATACACAGGAAAAAGTCCTTCCCCCAAATTCATAACCTCAATCAATCATAAGAAAACATTAAGACAAGTCCAAATGGAAGGATGATTTACAAACTACCTGAACAAATGTTAAAAGTCACAAGAGACAAAGAAAGACAAAGGATTTATCACAGATTGGAGGGGATTAAGGACATGGTAAGTAAACACAATGTGGGATTCTGGATCAAATCTTGAAAGAGAGAGAGGACATTGGTGGGAAAACTGGGGAAATATGTTAAAGTTCATCATTTGTTAATAGTAATGTCTCAATGTTCATTTCTTTTTTTTGGCTTTTCATGGTTATGTAAAGTGTTAACCTTTGGGGAAGCTGGGTGAAGACCATGTATGGGAACTGTTCATATTATCTTTGTAAATTTTATGTAAGTCTAATATTATGACAAAATTAAGTTTTGAAAGTACATAAATTTATAGTATATGGAGAAAAACAGAAATGTGCACAGTTTATCATTATACAAAACACACATTTGATGGCCGTCTTATTGATTTGTTGTTTTCTCTTTGATATCTTGTTTTCTTTTCTTTTTTATCTTCTAAGCCTCTGATCACTTATCTTAGTCAAGGTTGAGCAGATAGAGAAGTACGCACATCCTGTAGCCTGAAAGCCTAGCTTCAGATTCTATTTCTACCACTTACTGTGTGATGTGGGGCAATTAAATTAACTTTCAGTGCCCAGTTTCTTTATGGTACAAACAGGAAGAATAATATCTGCCACATAGAGCTGTTGTAAAAATAAATGAGTTAATATATGCAAAGCATATGGTAGAGCAGTGTGTGCCCAGAGTGAGTACCATTTGACAGAAACACCAGAATAGTTGAAGACAGAGTACTGTCTTTTACTTCAGAAACAAAGTGGGACAGCTGTTTCTCTCCCTTTGCTCTCTTGCTGCAATGAAGCTGACATTACTAGGGGGGGCTCAACTAACCAAACACTCCCAATTGGAATTTCGATTCCTGAAAGGATAATGAGTGAAGGGGCAAATTAGCAGAATCAAGGAAGCAGAAAATTCCTCACTCCAGCATTCTAGCCACACTCCCCGCAAGTGGAAATCAGGCTGTGAGCTTCTCTGACTACGTTGTTTCCCGCCCATCTTCCAACCCTGGATCTCCAGTGCTCCTGCAGCTCTGTGAGCCATCATATGCTCTTCCAACAAATCTCTTTATTCCTTAAATTAAAAAATTAACTCAAAATGGATTAAAGACTTAAATGTAAGATTTCAAACTATAAAAACCCTAGAAGAAAACCTAGGAAATACCTTTCTTGACATCAGCCTTAGCAAACAATTTGTGGCTAAGTCCTCAAAAGCATTGCAACAAAAACAAAAATTGACAAGTGGGACCTAATTAAAGATCTGCAGAAGCAGAGCAAAAGAAACTATCAATAGAGTAAACAGACAACTTACAAAATAGGAGAAAATTCACAGACTATGCATTTGACAAAGGTCCAGAATCTCTAAAGAATTTAAACAAACTAACAAGCAAAAAACAAATAACCCCATGAAAAAGTGGGCAAAGGACATGAACAGAGACTTCTCCAGAGAAGACATACAAGAGGCCAACAAACATAAGAAAAAAATGCTCCACATCACTAATCATCAGAGAAATGCAAATCAAAACCACAATAAGATACTATCTCATGCCAGTCAGAATAGCCATTATTAAAAACCCAAGAAATAACAGATGCTGGCAAGGCTGCGAAGAAAAGGGAACTCTTATACCCTGTTGGAGGGAATGTAAATTAGTTCAGCCAGTGTGGACAGCAGCTTGGAGATTTCTCAAAAAACTAAAGATAGAACTACCATTTAATGGGATTACTGGGTATATACCCAGTGGAAAATAAATCGTTCTACCAAAAAGACACATACACTCATGTTTGTTGCAGTAATATTCACAATAGCAAAGACATAGAATCAACCTAGGTGCCCATCAATAGTGGACTGGCTAAAGAAAATGTGGCACATATACACCATGGAATACTATGAAGCCATAAAAAAAAGAACAAAATCGTGTCCTTTGCAGCAACATAGATGCAACCAGAGGCCACTATCCTAAGTGAATTAACACAGAAACAGAAAACCAAATACCTTATGTTCTCACTTACAAGTGGGAACTAAACATTGGATACACATGGACATAAAGATGGGAACAAAAGACACTTGGGACTACTGGGGGAAGGAGGAAAAGGGAGGCAAGGGTTGGAAAACCACCTATAGGGTACAATGCTCACTACCTGGGTAACAGTTTCATTCATACCCCAAACCTCAGCATATACAATATACCCTGTGACAAACCTGCACATGAATCCCCTGAATCTAAAATAGAAGTTGAAAAGCAAAAATATAAATAAATAAATAAAATGTCAGTTTCTGTTATTTGCAACTAACCACAACCATGCTGTGTTTATCTTAATACCAATATCCCATAACCCAGTTTCTAAAGTCTCAGAGGACCAGGCATGGTGGCTTAGGCCTGTAATCCCAGCACTTTAGGAGGCAGGCAGATCACCTCAGGTTAGGAGTTTGAGACCAGCCAGGCCAACATGGTGAAACCTCATCTCTACTAAAACTACAAAAAAATTAGCTGGGTGTGGTGGTGCACACCTGTAATGCCACCTACTTGGGAGACTGAGGCTGGAGAAGAGTTTGTACCCAGGAGGCAGAGGTTGCAGTGAGCCAAGATCACGTTCACTGCACTCTAGACTGGGTGACAGAGCAAGACCCCCTCAAAATAAAAAATAAAATAAAATAAAATAAAATAAAATAAAATAATAAAATAAATTCTTAGAAGAGCAGTGTCCTTAAGTTTTGCTTCTGAAAATGTGGTTCACAGACCACACTTTGAACAGGAATGAAGCTTGTTGAGCTGGTGTTTGAGACAATAAGCTAAAGGGAAAGGAAATCCCACTGGAATGTTGGCTCCTTGAGGAAGAGCACATAGTCTTTCAAGGAATGTCCCATTTGCCCAGAACACAAGTTTTTCCTAGTCTCGGGATTGACAGTAAACAAAGGTAGATGTCTATTATTCATGGAGACTTAATTGACTTTTATAATAATACAACTATTGATTGGACTGATGCAAAAAAAAAATGGCTCATAGTTTGGGTTTGTCCTTAAGACAACCCACTGCAAATCAAACACTGGAATTTCAATCTGTAACTTTTAATGGATGACTTTTAATAAGACTTTTATATTAGATAAAGGCCATGGCTATCTTTGTGTTTCACAACTGGGAAAAATTTAAGAAGATGGAATAATTATCGAAGGGACTAGATTAAAATGTAAATGCTACATTATTTATGTGACAGACAAGAACTCAGGAGAAATTTATTGGCCTTTCAAGAAAAACTCTTAATTAAAAATTTAGATGATCTGATTATAGAGATAAGCTGTTGCTCAGGCTTATATAGGCTAAGATTTCATAAGAAACTACAAAACAATATTCAAATAGTGAATCATTTGAATGCACAAGCAGAAATCTCCACAATGTTTTGTGAATTTAATGTGTAATGGACAATGTTTATGCATGGCTAATCAAGAATTCAGAATTCTAATGGAGACTTATACCATTGTTATGATATTAAAGGTTATTCCCACAGGCAAATATTGTGTTTAATTTTTTAATTCATCCTATTGTAATTCTGATAATTGCTTGTTTCATAACTGTATTATGGACTTGCTGGATATTTAGTCAACTGCAAACTAGCCAGAAAAAGTAGAAACGCCAATGGAGATCATTTAAAAAATTATACTGCAACTATAAAATAGTAACAGAAAAGGAAACTTGTAAAGGTAAATACAGATTTTGGAGGAAAACAAACATATAATTTAAAATTTTCCCTGGCACCAAGAGGGGAAAGAGTATTCTCCCTGCCCGCCCTTAGGACACTTGAAGTTTTAAATGCTTTATCTGTCTCTCTGAGGTGTTTATAAATCTTTTTTGAAAGCTTACTAAGCCTCTTGCTAGTTCTACATCCTAGGAATGTATTTCCTGAGGCTTCAGAGGCATTTCTTTGAAATGGGAACATCCAAGAGGATGGAAGTCCCCTTGTTTCCCTATGTCTATGGAATCAAAGTCTAGGCACATGCTCCGTGATGTAATTTCCTGCTTATCATTAAGACACAAGAGGTTTTATTTTATATTTTGATAAAGACAATGAACATGCATGTAATAGGTTGTATCTGCTTGGCTGTATAAAAGGGTGAGATTTCATTCCCTCTTTTTCATCTCCTTAGCAGATCATCTGTAATGTGTGTCACAGTCTGATTTAATGCTTATTCAATAAAAACACTATTTTGTTCTTTTCTACATTTTTATAAAAAGGATTCACTGGTTTAGCAGGAGTTTTATTTCTAATTATATTTCCTTAACCCAGCTTACCAGTAATGGCGTATAATGGGTATAATTCCTATAGAAGCTAATTACCCTCTCTCTGAATAAGCCCTGGCCCAGTTCTGGAAAGCCATGTAGAATATGTCATTCAACATGAGAAGACTGAATAAAACAAAACTCATCTGGAAAACCATGTAGAATATGTCATTTGACACCAGAAGATTAAATAAAACAAAGCTGATCAATATAATCTACCAGCAGTGCTGGGCAGCAGAGACACAAAACTTCTAAATAGTGTGTTCTTTTAATGTTAATTCAACAGCACTCCAATACCAAAATAGGGCACGTAGGAGAAATGCAATTTCAACACACAAGAGAACAGTGTCCTTACGACATGATAAGACACAATGAACCGAAAACACTTTGAAGGATTTATAATCTGGTAAAGTAAATTTCCCAGAAGGCTGGAGCTGTGCCAATTTTAACTTATTTTTTACAGCATTTGGGTAAAGTGCTGAGAACACTTTCAGTGTTCCAGGTGATGATGCTGACAAAAGGGAGTGTTCATCAGGTTTGACTGCCTGGATACATGGTTTTATAAAATGGAGAAAGAAGTGTATTCATGATGCTTTGTAAAGCTAAATAGCCCTTTGATGGTTGCTTGTAGTGCAGGTTATCAATGTAAGACATTTTCATGTCTGTTTTTCTATTCTTGTATATAAAGTGTGTGAAATAAAGAATATTTCCTACACTGTGATCTGTAGAACACCAGTGTCCCATGAGATGTTATCTGTGCTCCATGTGGGAAAAGGGGGGTTTTCAAGTCAAATAAACCTGAGAATGTTCTTGAAGTTTTACAATCTAGGTTAGCATATTAAAGGTTATGAGAAGCCGCATAATAAAGAAACCCAATTAATCAGCACCTCACAAATTATTTGAGCATGAATCCTCCTCCTTTCTCTTTTCAACAATTTAATAATAATAGCTATTATTTATTGAGCATTTACTATGTATCAGACAGTTTTATATACCCTTTTACATGTAATGCAATACTCACTGAATCCTCACAAAAACTATATGAGGAACATGCTATTATTATCTCCATTTTACAAATAAAAAAACTAAGGCTTAAAAGAGTTAAGTAATTTGCCCAAGAACACAAAGCTGTGGTAGAGGAAGAACTTGCATTCTGGCAAGCCTGACTCTAGAGGCTCCATTCTGCTGCCTCTACTTCCTTAGCAGAGAGCTGCGCATGCTCGGTCCATTCCTTGCCTGGGAAAATTGATTCACTTCAGTTATTTTCATTTATTCCTCTGAACGACTTCCATTCTATGGTTGGTTGGAGTTATGTTCCCTGATTTTCATAGCTATCAGCTTCGATGTCATCATTTCATTGTCCTTTCTCTCTGTATTTTGGAAATACTTCTTCCACAGAGCTCTGTGCCTCAGTTTCCTTGTCTGTAGGAAAGGAATAATACTACCGGCCTCATAGGTTATTATGTTTATTATAAACAAGATCTAAAGTGAAAAGTCCTTTGAACAGCAGCTTGCACAAGAACCCAGTAAATATTAATGATGATGCTAATGATTGTTATCAGAATTATTGTTGCTGTTGTCATCACTGATTCTGTCTCGACAGAGAGTCAGCCTTTTCATGGATATAGAAAACACTGTTCTGGTAAGAGTTGGGTAACAGCATTTGAGTGCCTAAACATGCAGTACATATGCAGTAGGAGGATTATGAATCCCTTGTGAGTAGGTATAGATCTTTAATTCTGTCAAGGGCTTGGAGTAAGAAAAGAATAAAAAGTCTTCATAGCTACTCTCAGAAAAGCAGGATTTTTATTTTTGTCCATGAGGACTATCCATTGCCTTTTGCAGTCTTATTTACATGGCCTTTCAATGAATGAAAAATCCTTGTAATCTAGCAGAAGTAAATAAGCAATCCTCATTTTTGTTCCTGTTGTGGCTTTTCATATTTTCCTGTTTTTATATTTAAGGTGGAAGGTGGGAATAAATGCAGTAGAGTAGACCAGTAATGTGCTAATTTTAACCAAAATCATGGAATCTTACCTTTAAAGACCATTCTTCAGCAAAATTTATGTATTCTAAATGACACTTTTTTTTTTTTGAGATGGAGTCTTGCTGTGTTGCCCAGGCTGGAGTCCAGTGGTGTGATCTCGGCTCACTGCAACCTCTGCCTCCCGGGTTCAAGCAATTCTCTGCCTCAGCCCACTGAGTAGCTGGGATTACAGGTGCACACCACCATGCCCAGCTAATTTTTGTATTTTTAGTAGAGACGGGGTTTCACCATGTTGGTCAGGCAGTTCTCCAACTCTTGACCTCGTGATCCACCCGCCTCGACCTCCCAAAGTGCTGGGATTACAGGTGTGAGCCACCGTGCCTGGCCTCTAAAAACACTTCTAAGATGTCTTTCTAGTTCTTTACGTACAACTCAGATAGATTTACCTATCTGAACAGAGCAATTATATGAGTGTAGTGTCATTTCATTCATGAATTTTAAAGAAGCCTAACATCTATATAGTTACCGTATTAATCAGCACTCTCCAGAGAAACAGAATCAACAGGATATATATACAAAGAGATTTATTATAGGAATTGGCTCACACAATTTATGAAAGCCAAAAAGTCCCATGATCTGCCTTCTGCAAAACCAGTGGTATAATTCAGCCCAAGCCCAGAGGTCTGAGAACCAGGGAAGCCAATGGTATGAGTCCCAATCCAACTCCAAAAACTGGATAACCAGGAGCTCCAATGTCTGAGGGCAGAAGAGGATGGATATCCGAGCTCAAACAGAAACAAATTCCGCCTTCTTCTGCATTTGTGTTCCAATCAGGCCCTCAACAGATTGGATGACTCCCACCCACATTAGTGAGGGCAATACTCTTTACTTGGTCCACCAATTCAAATGCCAATTTCTTCCAGAAACACCCTCACAGACATACTCAGAAATAGCATTTTACTAGCTATCTGGGCATCCCTTAGCCTAATTAAGTTGACACAGAAAATTAAACATCACAGTTACATGTATTTTTAAAGAAATGTGTAAACCAATAAATCAAATAAACTATTTGCAATCCTTGGCCTACAGAGCAATAGATTATCACTGGATAGCTTCTTATTCTTTGGATCTAAAACCTGGGACATCATTGGATTTCTAGCCTAGAGCAGTGTCCCTGAACAAAGGCTTTGGGGAGGCAATCTTTTAGAAACTACCACGTTATTCTCATAGAGATTCTGTTATTTCTCTCTCCCATCACTACCCAGAGAACCAGCGTTACTGAATAGTAATGATAATAATAATAATTACAAATAACATGTGTAGCACTTGCTCTGTGCCAGGCACTGTTCTAAGCACTTTATATTATTAACTCATTTAATCTCATCCTTATAGCAACCAGATGATATAGGTTCTGTTATTATCCTCATTTTACAGATGAGGAAACTGAGGCAGAGAGAAGTGAGGAAACTTGTCCAAGGTTAAAGAGCTAAAAGGGGCAGAGTTAGTAAATGGCAGAGCAGAGATCCACTCGGAGCAGCCTGACTCCAGAGCTCCTGCCTTTAATCACAAGACTGTGCAAAATGAGGGCAGTGTGCAATCCTCAAGTACTTCAGGAATGAGGAGAGGGGGAAGGTTGTCATCATCTCTGGAGCTTGAACACATCCATCTCCCCACCTAATAGTAGCCTCAGTCTGAATAACCCTGTTAGTTTGTTGATGATGCTTCTCAGTGTCAGTCAAGCCTCACAGAAGAGAAGTTTAAGGCTGAACCAAAGGGATTTTGAAAACTGGTAGGTAGAGAGCATGTTTGAGCCTGTTTGGGAAAATGCTGGCACCGTTAACAGGAATTGAATATCAGATCTCTCTGCCTTAAGGGACTTTAAGCTGCATTCAAGAAAAACCAGAGTATAAACATGCCATTTCAGTTCAATGAGGAAAACAGAATGATTTGCTTGAGGTGTTATAAGTGGAAAAAGGAGGAACATTTACCCAGCCGGGTAAGGAAAGAGGATCATGAAAAAAGGCTTAAAATAACAAAATCCATTTTCTACGATCATAGACCAATAAATCTAGCATTTTACCTTTATAAACAACCCACAAAAACCTTTTAAATATGTTGTATCTGCTTGTCATTGTTAAATAAAAACACTGTAATTCTATTGGAGGTGATTCTAGTTTTCAGTTTTCTAAGTACATATTAATTATGAACTATTTCTATCAAAGAATCTACTCACAAAGTTTTTGTTCTTTGTTTTACTTTTGCCAAAACTGCACCATATAAACTTGACATGTGCTCTAAATACATTCTTGCTCTTTTCTGTATGGTGATCTTAAGAATATTCATCACAAGATAGGAAAACACAGCTGCCATCGTTTTAGGAAAGAAATAGTCATGAGTAATGCTTTAACACACATTTCAAAGCATCAGGCGTTCTAAAAATCTCAAGAGAGTTGTGACTTTTATTGTCCCTATATGTTCTAAGCATCATGCAACTTTCATTGTTAAAATGCTTACATTAAAATTACTCCCAATAATCCATAGATTACACACTACTACATAAGTCTATTTAAATCGCTACTAGAAAACCCAATCACTACCAGAAATAATTCAAGTTAGGATAATGTTCAATAATGTTGGTGGTATCTGGAGTAAAGATACAGCTTAGAATTTGTCTAAAAGTCTGATCTAATGTTTCTTCACTGTTAATATTCTTGTCATAAAAGTGTGACTTACTGACTTGGACCATCAAGGCTTCTAAATATATGGAAAGAAAATCTATATGTGAAAACAGAGTAGAATTAAGACGTTACCTAGATACAGTCTTCTGAGGTTACCACTGGAGAGGTGATGACCAAGATCAAATAAATTGAGTAACATATGGAAAATGGTATGGTGGAGAAAGAATCAGACTGCAATCAGTCTAACTAACGCTAGTTCTGACTTCGTTATCACCTGCGAAAATAGCACCACCTCTCTGGACCTCAGC
Source organism: Homo sapiens (assembly GCF_000001405.40). Lineage (NCBI taxonomy): Eukaryota > Metazoa > Chordata > Mammalia > Primates > Hominidae > Homo > Homo sapiens. The sequence continues at coordinate 86,288,114 of NC_000004.12, forward strand.
TTCACCATGGGTAAAATAAGACATTTGACTAGATGATCACTAATGTTTTTTGTTTTTTTTTAATTTTATTATTATTATACTTTAAGTTTTAGGGTACATGTGCACAATGTGCAGGTTAGTTACATATGTATACATGTGCCATGCTGGTGTGCTGCACCCATTAACTCGTCATTTAGCATTAGGTATATCTCCTAAAGCTATCCCTCCTCCCTCCCCCCACCCCACAACAGTCCCCAGAGTGATCACTAATGTTGAACTCTATGAAATCTAAGATGCTCTAATGTTATCTTAAACTCTTAGCATTTTTTTAGCTATAAAAACCATGATCTAAAATTTCAGATGCTTCCTGAATGTCACTCAACTATTTTCTAAACCAGAGATGGGCTGTATTGTATCCAGGACAAGGTAGTTGATGATCATGATGCCCAGTATCTCTAACTAGCTTAATGCATTGGGGAAACACCAGAGGTTCCTTGAATTGCTTCTTTAGGGAGGGATGAGTCCAAGTAATTGTTAATTCAATAAGTGTCATTTTAGGAAAAAACCCTGTGTACCCAAGTCTTTTATGAGCACTGGAAAATCAGAGATTAATGTTAAAGTCTTTCTCCTCCAGAGGCTCATAGTCACATGAGTCAGAAAAATAACTTCTCATTAGATACAATTTTAAGTGCTATGATAGGTTTTTAAATAGGAGGGTATGGAAATTCAAAAGAGAGATCTTGAATCATTCATTCTACAAATAATTATCAAGAACTTGATATGTGCCAGGCACCATTCTAAGAAACAGGATGAATATAGCAGTGAAAAATAAAAGTAAAAAAAAAAAAAAGACCTTGCCCTAAATAGGCAACAGAAAGATAAACAAAGAATAAAATAAATAAACACTATACTTTCAGGTGGTGATGAAGGCTATCAAGAAAGATGAAATAGAACAAGGGACTATACACTGGTACAGAATTATATTTAGATAGAGTAGTCAGATATGGCCTCTGCTTTATGTGACATTTAGGCAGAGACATGGATAAAGTGAAGGAGCGTTTAGGATATCCAAGGCAGAAAGAACACCTAGAGAAAAGGCCCTGAGGCAGGAGATGCTCGGATGAGTGTGCAAAGTGCCAGGGAAGGTTATGTCTTGAGATGAGGCAGAAAAGGTAGCCAGGGGCTAGATTATATAGGGTTTTGTTGGACATGGTAAGGAGGCTGGGTTTGCTTCTGAAGGATGCAAAATCAGGGAAGAGTTTTGAGCAGAAAAATTATATGATCAGATTTTTATTTTTAAAAGACCATTCTAGATGCTGTATGGAAAATGAAGAGGCAGAGAGCAACAGTTAAGCAGGGAGGAAATTAGGAGACAGTTTCTATATTTATGTTAATATGCATAAATATTTTCAGTTATAGCATTATATAGTATGGGATATGTTAATATATGATAAATTATGTTTCTATATTTATAATTATATAAATCACATACATAGCATTATGTTATATAATAATATATTATGTTGTTATATTCCAAAAATATATTAATATTATATGTATGTTATAATGCATTTTATAATTATAATATATAATAGTGCTATATCTATTATATCTATTGGTCTTTAGTTTTATATTCTTAGAAAAAGATGGTGATGGTTTGGAGTAGTAAAGTAGCTGTAGAAGTAGAAATACTCATTTGAGGTAAATATTTTGAAGTTAGACCCAACAGGACTTGCCAATGGGTGTTCTGTGGGATGGAAGAGCAGAAAAGGGCTCGTGGAGCAATTCTAAGTTTTAGCTTGAGCAACTATGTGAATAATGATGTCATTTCCTGAGGTGGAGAAAAATAAGGTGAAGCATTTGTTGGTAGTGAGGCTAAGAATTGATTTTGGACGTATTAAATTTGAGATGAGTATTTGACTGTGTAGATGAAATGTTAAGTGAGCAATTGGATATACAGATCTAGATTTCAGAGAAGCCAAGGTTGGAAATACAGATTTAAGTGTGTTTGGCCACAGGATAGGATGAGCTGAACAGGGAGGAGAGTGAGAAGAAAAGAATTATGATGGCTGAGCTCTAGAATTCTCCAACATTTGGAAATCAAGAAAAGGAGAAACCAGTGAAGGAGCTATCAGCAAAAGAAGAGGAAAGCTGGAAAGTGGCCCTGTGGTAGCAGAGTGATCTACTGTGACAAGAGCTGCTAAGAAGGACAAGTAATTTGAGAACTGAGATCTGACTACTGGATTCAGCATGTTCTTCCTTCTTCCAGGAATGCTGTTCCAGATGTCCACATAGATGGCAACCTCTCTTTCTTCAGGTCTTTACTCAAAATTACCTACTTGGTAATACTGGCAACGGCCAATCTATCAAAAAGCCAATCTGCTCTCCCAGTTATCTGTATCCCCTCTCCCTGCTGTATTCATTCTTCTTAGCTCTTTATCATTATGTAATAAACTAGGTGTTTTACTTATTTATCTTAATTATTACATATTTCCCTCATTAGAATTTAAAATACATAAACACAGGGTTTTGGGTCTCTTTTATTTGTTGTGACTTTGTCAGTACTTAGAATGATGCTTGACTCCTGGCTGGCACTCAGCACTCAATAAATACTGGTTGAAAACATGAATTGATGAATAAATGAAGCCACCATTTACTATATTAGATGTAGCAGCCTTATAAAGTTGACCTTTTTCCTTTCATTTTTAAATCTAAGCTTACCTCTGGCCATAGACTTATCTTCCTCTAGTGAAAAACTAGTATGTAAAAGGAAGCAGATACTTGCATATGTCTTTAAAATGTTGAGACTAGCTTGCTAAAAAGCTACCAGACATTATGTAAACCATTGTTTTAGACTTTTATGATGCAAGAATATATAAGGCAGGGTCAACATTCTCAAGGAACACTCAGTCTGGTGGTGACTGAAAACTTGTAAATAGGAAAGCTATAATACAGCATGGTAAGTGCAACTATAGACAAGACCACTAGAAGTCTAATCAAGTGAGTAGATAACCAGACAGCGGGAGAACTGGGTCAGACTTCACCTGTGCATGATAGCAAAAACATCAGAAAACTTCTGAACAAATTAAGTCATCTGTTCACTAAATATTTATTGATCATTAGCACCATATTCAGCACTGGGGATAAATAAGCAAAAGAAACATAACCTCTACTCTTATGGAATTCAATCTAGCTTGATAATCTACCTTGTGTAATACCAGTACAGCACTTCAGAAGAGCAGCTGTTGAAATCTTTTACAGGTCCCGAGTCGGCCAATGCCAGATAGATGTGCTACACATCACATCAGCCTACCCTAAGGCAACTATACAATGTTCTGATAAATGCTTCTTAGTGAAAAGGCCCAAGCATGCCCCAACTCTGGTCTAGTGGTTACAGAAAAAGTACAAGGTTTTATTTAAGCAAAGTAGTCAATGGAGCTATACACATTTTTTTAAAGAAATGCATATAGCTTTGGCATTTCAAAATGAGACATGGCAGTAAAAAACTAGATGCTACTGATGAAAAAATGTAGATTTACATTTATACCGTAGTATAAATTTCTAATTTTTTAGATAATTCATTTCTAAGCACTGTCATTCTTCTAAATAATTTATATTGCATTGGTATTTGCTAACTTCCAAACTGAAGGGATTCTAAGGAACTAAATGCCCTTTGATTAAAAGAGGTTAAGGAAAAAATGACTCATTTTGCAAGTGCTAATGCTATAAATTCCTATAAAATACAATATTTGGGAGTCAAGTGTAAACTAATTTGTGAATAGGCATATAACTTTTCCTGGATAATTTTATAAATTTTTGTACTTAAAGTGGAAGGCAATTTCAGGCAATCACAATGATTCCCTCAAGAAAAAGGACCATTACATTGGACTTTTTCTCATATCTTTCTGAGCCAGTTTTATTTCACTAATTGAGCCCATGGAGACAGAAACTTACTTAGATTTTATAGTATTGCTGATTCTGAAGAGTATTTATAGGAAGTTCACCAATTTATCAAGAACACTGCAAGGTTTTCAATATTTGTCTAATTATTAGAGTAAGAATACTTTTTAAAAATAGTATCTGGTATTCTATTTCCTATAAAAAGTTAAGAGGAACATCTAGAAATGTGTGCAACTGAGTGAAGTCCAGAAAAATATAATGTATTGATCTCAATGGCTATTAAGAAAATATAATACTTCTCTCCATATCTCTAGCACAAATTCTTAAGATGATGAAGCACAATCCTCATCATTTCCTTCTGTCAACAATGTGTAGGAAGAAAAAACATTTGGGTAAGTGAATGAGGAAATTCCTGGTATCAACTGTATCCGTGGTATAGAACTAATAGCTGTGGGCTGCGCACCCTTTAATCCCAACATTTTGGGAGACCGAGGTGGGAGGACAGCTTGACGTCAGGAGTTTGAGACAAGCCTGGGCAACATAGCAAGACCCTGTCTCTACAAAAAATAAAAATAAAAAATTAACTGGGCGTGATGGTGTCTGCCTGTAGTCCTAACTACTCAGAAGGCAGAGAGAGTATTGTTTGAGTCCAGGAGTTTGAAGTTGCAGTAGCTATGATCGCACCACTGCCCTCCAGCCTGAAAAACAGAGGGAGACTCTGTTTCTAAAACAAAACAAACAACAAGAAATAATAGATGTGTTTTGAAAAGTGCCTACAAGTCAAAGGGTGAGGACAGCTTTGGCCAAGGAGATGATATTGAGTATGGGAGGGCCAATTAAACCACTTCAGAGAAAGCGGTGGTGGTCTCTGGTCTCATAACTATTTTTGCATAACTCATTATTGTTTCCGTGTCCAGGCCATCAGGCTACACCCCTCCTCTTATGAGAAAGGTACAAATGCATAAAACTAAGTCACCATAAGATGTTTTGTCAGGAACGCTGCTAGCAGAGCACTCATCTAACCTAAATGTTTTTCTCTCCACATCTACAAATACAACTATGTCTATAGTTTAAACATATCACATTAAATAAAATTCACTGAGTCTTCAGAACAATCTAACATTTATTTTACATACTCTATTTAAGAAGGCAATAAAAGTGTGGATGTATTTGTATAAAAAAATTAATGTTCCAAAATGTCCCCTAGAATTTCAAACTTTGAGGTACAGGAAAATATCAAATGTATAGAATTATTAATTCCTTGTGAGTTCCAGGTAGCTTAGGTATTCACAGTACTTTGAAGAAATAATTTAAAGAATGTCCTCTAATAATTATGAAAAGGAAGAGAAGACTGACTTAAGCCTGTATCTATTTGATCAGGTCTACTTAGTCTGCTGGGTTGAAATCGGAGCACAGAGCACTTCTTTAGAAAGGGTTTAACTTGCATCCCATGTCTGATGTGGCAACAATACTAGTAACCCTGCTTATACCCCCTTGGCTTTCACCTCTGCACTAGGAAGGCTGCTTACTGTCAACATCTGAGAATCTCTGTGTGTTAGGCCATTCTTGCATTGCTATATGGAAATACCTAAGACTGGGTAATTTATAAGAAAAGAGGTTTGGTTGGCTCATGGTTCTGCAGCTTGTACAGGGAGCATAGCACTGGCTTCTGCTTCTGGGGAGGCCTCAGGAAGTTTACAATCATAGTGGAGGGCAAAGGGGGAGCAGGCGTTTCACATGGCAGGAGTGGGAGCAACAGAGTGCAGGGGAGGTGCCACACGCTTTTAAATGACCAGATCTCAAAACAACTCACTCACTATCAAGAGGACAGCACCAAGAGGATGGTGCTAATCCATTCAGGAGAAATCCGCCTCTATCTAAACACCTCCCACCAGGCCCCACCTCCAACACTGAGGACTACATTTCAACATGGGATTCCGAGGAGACAAATATCCAAACTACACCGCTCTGCCTGAGGACTTTTCTCTGACCACAGGGAACATGTATAACCAGCATGCAGGACAACCCAGAAGTGCGGAGTTAACACCCACAGAAGCAACTCAGCAAATGCTGGCTGATGTGTCCACGGACATACACCCGGCTTCTTTCCTCATCAATGTGATTAGCTCCGAGGTGTGCTGTATAGGAGCCCCCAGAGTTCCTTGGCAGGACTGGGCCCTGGGCTATAGCTGGTGAGTGAGTCGATAATATGCCCTTTAGTGTCTTCTTTCCTTTCCCTCTCTCACTTCCCTACTCTTCCATCCATGTTTCCTGGGATCACCTCCCAAATGAATTGCTCTGCACTTGAATCCTTGCCCCTAGGTTTACTTTGAGATAACCCAACTTGAAACTCATGGGCAGAATTTTTGCTTCCATGGTATACAGGTTTCTAAGTGTGGGCCAGAGTTTACATATAAATACAAATAGGTTAAGTTGTGAAAGGCTTTTTATTAGTTTGGCAATCAAAAGTTCTACTAGAACCTCTGTTTCTACCCATGAGGGATTAACAGCCCAGAGAATTGCCCTCCTACTGTGAAAAAGAAAAAAAAAAAAGAAAACTTCAAGAATAAGTATTTTCTGACATTGAAAAATAGCCAGAGCAAAATTGTGTTGTTTGAAAGAATGAAAACAAATTTTCTTTATACTTTCTCCAAACTGTTGCCTGGAGGCAGCTCTAAAGCACTAGGATAGGAAAAGCCTAACAAAGCTCAGTGGTCTCATGGCTTCAGCAAGGTGAGGAGAGGAGAGACCAGGGAGGCTGAGGTGGCCAGAATTCACAGGGCAGAATACGAGAAAGGAGACAGCCTGAAGAGAAAGAGCTCCGGAAACCTGGATAGAAACCTCTTCGAGGCTTTGGCTGAGTACTGATCAGCACAGGCCTGGTTTGAAACCCCACAAGGCTTTGGAAAGAACCTCCTGAAGCAATTCACAGAGCTCAAACCAGGCTAGATAGAGTTTGTCATCTCACCAGCCAAAACGGAAAAACCGGTGATACAGGGAACTTGCTAGAGGCCTCAGAAGGGTATCACTCGCATGGTACAGCTAAATAAGGCCTACATCAAAGCCTGCTCTGCACCTGCCAAAATACAGCATAAAATCAGATTTGAAAATGTCAACGCCATCCAAAGCGGTTTAATTACGTGTTAGGACACAGCCCGACACTCACATCCCCCGACTTTCACTTCCATGTTATGAAGGAACAAAACAACACGGTGTTTGTTGTTTAACCCCCTCGGGCCCCACGCCCTCTGCCTGGAGGATGCTCTCCCAGATCTCTATTTTACTTGCTCCCTCACCTCCTCAGGGGTATACTCAAATGTCCCCTTTTCAGTGAAGCCCTCCTTGACCACCCATTTAAACTTGTATTCTCCTCCCTACTCCTTAACCTCCTTCCCAGCTTTATTTTCCTGCGTAGAATTTTATCACCATCTAACTTGCTCTACATTTTATGGATGTAATTTTTTTGTCAGCGTCCCTTCCCTACATTATAACCTTCATGAAGGCAGGGGTTTTTGTTCTGTGTTCACTGCTATCTCATCAATATCTAAAGCAGTTCCTAGCACATAATAAATGCTTAAAGATTATCTGCTGAATAAATATTTTAGAAAAATAACTGCAGCTCCAATGTGTACTGTCTACTATGATACAAAAGAAATAAAAACATGGTTCACAAAAATATGTTATAGCTTTTATTATGATATCTTCTAGTTTCATATATGTCTTTATATATGAATATATAATATATAAATTTATATATATTTTATATATATATATTTTATATATATATATATTCTCTATATTTCCCATCCTCTTTTCTCTCTTACTAATATCCCAAGGGCTATTTTTTTCCCTACCCTGCTCAAAGCGGAAAACAAAACAAAGACTCAAAGAACCTAGCAGAGGCCGGGCACAGTGGCTCATGCCTGTAATCCCAGCACTTTGGGAGGCCAAAGCAAGCAGATCACCTGAGGTCAGGAGTTTGAGTCCGACCTGGCCAACATGGTGAAACCCTGTCTTTACTGAAAATATAAAAATTAGCCAGGCTTGGTGGTGGGCATCTGTAATCCCAGCTACTCGGGAGGCTGAGGCAGGAGAATCGCTTGAACCCGGGAGGCGGAGGTTCCAGTGAGCTGAGATTGTGCCACTGCACTCCAGCCTGAGTGACAGAGTAAGACTTGGTCTCAAAAAAAAAAAAAAAGAAAAAGAAAGATTTGGGTGCAATGCAAACTTTTTTTTGTTTTGTTTTTTCTTGTTCCTAAAGACTGGTTAAGACTGGATTTGTGGGAAACAGGAGAAAATTCAGCAGTGACTAACAAAAAAGGAGGAAGGGCTGAGGCTTCAGAAGTGGTAGGGAAGAACAGAAGCTCCCTTCTGAGGGAGCACCCAGGAGATGAAAGGAACCAATCCTGGGTGGTCCTGCACCAGGCTTATCAACCCCTGACAGACAAATGGAAAACTTCTATGATGGTGGGACATGAAAAAATATTTCACCCTTCTGATAAAATGGAACCAGCAGATAGAAGTAGGAATTTTTCTGTTAGGTGAAATGTTTTTAAAAATATGTATATAGGAAAAAGCATAAAACAGTATTGACTGGCAAACATAGAACTGGAATGTAAATATAATGTTCTTTGCCCTGAATGATTTAAGTGGCATGATAAAACTCATGCCACAGACTGGGTAAGACAAGGAATCTAATCCACTCTAAAAAGAAGAAAAGCATAGTAAAATTCTCCTTAGAGTTAGAATTATTAATAGTTCCTATCTACTATTTAATTTAATCATAGTTAATGATGAGAATTTCTTATATTTTATGCATCTGATGATGCTAAATGTGCATTTCTCATGATTCCTTAAAACAATTTTTGTAAATTCTATTCCTAGGACCTTCTGCTTTCAGAAAAATTAATGTCTTGTATTCTTCGTATTGGAGGAGATCCATCTGTTCACTTGCTACGCAGTGGTTATCAAACTTCGTGTGCATCAGAATCCTCTGGAAGGGTTAGACGGGGACTGCCTGGCCTGCCCTCAGAGGTTCTGACTGGTAGGTCTGGGGTGGGGCCTGAAAATTAGCATTTCTAACAAATTCCTCGGTGAGGCTAGTACTGCTGGTCAGGACCACCCTCTAAGAACCACTGACACTTAAAATCAGGGATGTATTTTCAAGAAACTCACACCATCTTTCATATTAATTGAATGTTGTTAATTTGAATTTTATTATTTTTAAATCTGGTTGGTAATTTGTCAATCCGTTGGTTTTATAGTTACATAAAAACTATAAGCATAAAGATGTTATATAGAGTTTTTGTTTGTTTGTTTGTTTTTGTTTTTGTTTTAGACAGAGTCTCGTTCTGTTGCCCAGGCTGGAGTGCAGTGGTGCAATCTCAGCTCACTGCAACCCCTGCCTCCCGGATTCAAGCGATTCTCCTGCCTCAGCCTCCCGAGTAGCTGCTGGGATTACTGGTGCCCACCACCAAGGTCGGCTACTTTTTGTATTATTAGTAGAGACGCGGTTTCACCATGTTGGCCAGGCTGGTCTCGAACTCCTGACCTCGTGATCCACCCACCTCGGCCTCCCAAAGTGCTGGGACTACAGGCATGGGCCACTGCACCCAGCCTATATAGAGTTTTATGTCTGTACCCACTTAAATAATTTTACAATAAAAATGATCACTAATGAGAATTGTTTTCCTATAATTGGCTCTGTATACAGTATTCAATGTTATTACCCGGACGATTTTTCTTATCTCTACTCTTTACTCTAATTTTTTCCCTATATCTCAGCAAGAGTGATCGATGTCAAACATAAATCTGGTCACATCATTTCCCTCTGGTAACCTTTACACTGGCTCCTTCTTTGTGTCTAGATAAATCCTAAGTTTCCTAAGATGGCATAGAAGATCTCTCATGACTGGCCCCTGCTTATTTCTCCAGGTTCATGGCTGACATCTCCTCACCTCCACTCCTCTTATCCCACAGTCTCTTTGAACGCTTGTGCTTCTGTGTGTTTCCATTTGCATTAGAGCCTTTGTCTGTGTGGTCCTATCTGCCTGACGTGCTGCTCCACTTACCTGATTTGACCTGCTGGATTCCATGTTTTCTGTAAGACTCTTGGATGTCCATTACTCTCTAGTCTCTGCTAACTCCCTGTGGTCCTCTCTATGTACCTCCACAGCAATCCAGATTACCCAGCCGAATATTCATCACACTCTATTACAATTTCCTATTTTCTTGTTTTTGTTCCCCAATAGTTTGTAGACATTTCCAGATGAGGGGCTATGACAATATTAATTATTGAATTCCTCCCCAAATCCTGACATAAAAAAGATACTAATAAACATTAAAAATATATATAAGAATGATACTCAATAATACAATAAATAGGTCTGAAGTTTCTATTATTTTTAAATAAACAAAGCTACTCTCATATTAACCACCCCTGTGACCCTCCTCTAGCCATCAGGAAGGCTAGAGTGCTGAGCTTCAGGAAACCACTGAAGCCAGTTCCTGATGATGCCTTCACTCTTTGCAGACAATGCCACAAGCACTTGAACTAACAACTGCTCCACTTGTCTCCTGCTCTGGAAGCTCCATGAAGGCAGAGACTGTCTCTCACAGCATCTCAGTGCCAGGCATATAGTAGACACTTAATATTGGTTGCCTATCTTTTATTTTGCCATTAGTGTGTGATCAGAATTAATTCAGACAGTCAGTGGATATTTGCTCCTGAATTCTTGGTGACTGGCCCAAATACAACTTTTACCATTTCATAACCGTCTTCTATTATTTTTGTTCTTCTTTTTCCTTGTACTCAAATTCCAAAAACTTAAAGCAGATCATGAGAACAGTGGTTTTGATTCAGTTCTCTGTAGAGAACCAGGTAGGAAAGCTGGGAAATGGTTTGGAAAAAAATGAGGACAGAAAAAGTAGAGAGCTTCCTGCTTCTTTTATTTTCCCCTTGAAGCTGACATTAATAGTTGGTGCTAATGTAACCTCTAAATTTCTTTTTATAAGAAAAGAAACCTGAAGGGCCTGCCTATTATTAGAATACTTGTGAGATATAAACTTCTTGATATGTGTCTAAAATTTGAACCAATTTAGTGGTACAATAAATAGTGATTAGAGTACAATAAGGAATTTTGTTTTTCAGAATAAAAGCAGTAAAAAAAGCCTTGTTTTGCAACTTTAAGTATGTGAATATTCATGAAAGCAAACTTTCGAAATAAACTTTAAATAAAAATTAAAAGGAAAAGAGATTACAGACTTGGTTTTTGGCAACATATATTTAAGTCATCTCATTACACTGTGCTATGGTCTGAATGTCTATGTCAACCCAAAATTCATATGCTGAAATCCTAAGCCCCATAGTGATGATACTTTTTCAGAGGTGGGGTCTTGAGGGCAGATTCTTCATAAATGGGAATTAATGCCCTTATAACAGAGTCTGGAGAGAGATCCCTTGTTCCTTCATCAGGTGAGGTTAAAGCAAAAAGATGCCTGTCTAGGAAACGAGACCGCACCAGAGGTGGAATTTGCCTGTACCTTGATTTTGGATTTCCCACCCTACTAAACTGTGAGAAATAAATTTCTGTTATGTATAAGCTACCCAGTCTATGGTAGTTTTTTATAGAGGCCTAGACATACTAAGATATTTTGTACATTTATTATCCAAATTTCCTTTCTCTTGATGAATCAAGACTAGTCACCTAAAGGCAAATACTAGAAATTACTATATTATGCTATTTACAAAGAAAGCATCCAGGAAAAGAGTTTAATTATAGTATTTGAGAGCAGAAACACTTCCCATAATCACTGTTCATGAATTTGCTAAACTAGAATATTATATGGTAAACCGTATTTACATCTTTTAAGAGAGACAATAATACCTTTCTTATTTTTTTTCTTTTTTTGTTTTTTTGAGATAGAGTCTTGCTCTGTCTCCCAGGCTGGAGTCCAATGGTGCAATCTCTGCTCACTGCAACCTCTGCCTCCTAGGTTCAAGAGATTCTCCTGCCTCAGCCTCCTGAGTAGCTGGGTTTGCAGGTGTGCACCACCACACCTGGCTATTTTTTGTATTTTTAGTAGAGACAGGGTTTCACCATGTTGTCCAGGCTGGTCTCGAACTCCTGACCTCAAGTGATCTGCCCACCTCGGCCTCCAAAAGTGTTGGAATTACAGGCATGAACCACCTCACCTGGCCTAATACATTTCTTACAAGAGGTTCTAAGGATTCATTAGTTTATATTTGTAAAGAGTTTTAAAAGTGAAATGCTTCCCGCCCTTCTTTGTCACTGAAATCATTAACAAATGATGATCAGTATTCCCTTCTTAATGACTTAGAAAAGCCTGACTATCCAATGCTGTGCAATTATCTTCTTCATGTTAGAATTCAAAATTTGAGCCCCATATTCATGCATTAAAATGCTCACTTCTTGTTTTAAAATACCTACAATATCATTTAGATCAATTTGGAGTTTTCAAAGAAAAAAAAAAGCCCTTCCTTAGAATGATATTATTAAGACTGTCAAGTCACATTTGCTTTATAGAATTTCATGTAATACACAAATACCCAACTTAAAATTCCTGATTTATGAAAAAGTTGTAGAACAATACAAAATATTTATTATTTATAGAGCAGCTTCCACATTCCATGTGCTATATTTGTAGAGCATTCCTTGCATGTCTCTCTTAAAAGCAATGGGATCATCAAGATTGATTATTTCTGGAACTTGATTCGCATATTTGCTTTTCCACCACCTGGAATGTGGGGCTACCGGCAAGATAACTATGTACCGATAAGTTCAGACACTGGTAGCAAAGACTGAGAGTCTGTCTCTCTCTCTCTCTTCATGACAACATCTTGACATTCTGAGGAAGAGAGATCAAATTGTTAAAGTATTAAAAAAAAAAAAAAACAACAAGCTAAGCCTAAGTGGGGAGAGAGGGAACAGTTCCAAAAAGGAGATAAGGAAGGCATAGGGTGTGATTCTGAAGGGTTTTGAGCAAGTTTCATAAAAGAGCTTAATTTCCTAACCATGGATATTTTGTGCTGAAACAGTCTTTGTTGTGGGGGCTCTCCCATGCATTGTAGGATGGTTCACAGTATTCCTGGCCTCTACCCACTAGAGGCTGGTAGCACTCTCTGCCAACCAAAAATGACTCCAGATATTGCCAAATGCCCAGTGGGAGAAATTGGGCAGGGGCGGGGCAGATGAAATTTTCCCCAGTTGAGAACCAGGGCTGGTATTTGGCACAAGGAAAGGAACACTGGAAATGTTTTCCTAAAATTACTAATGGGAACTTTCACTGTGAAGAAGACAACCTTCTTCACAGTGAAAGTTCTGCAGGGGATGGCCAAGCCAAGAGTTAGAAATGGCAAAAGATGCCACCAAAAGCTATTATTAATGGATCCACTAGCTAGAAAAAAAAAAATGATGAGAAGAGCCACCTTTGAGTGGTGTCTGCTGAAAACAAAGTCTTGGAGCTGCCACAGCCATACGTAACTGTCAACTGAAGCTCCATATAATATACTTAGCAATGATCTATTATCCTCTTTAATGAAGGGAAGAGTCTAATAGACTTCTTCCAGGAAATTTGACGGGCTTAAATACCAGAAACTCCTTGCCAGGGACTCACTGAGTTTCATTTAATTCATCAAATATTTATTGAGCACTCAATGTGTGCCAGGCTCTGTGCTAGCTGTCAGAAATACAATGGTGAAAACAGTCTACCCTCAAAGAACTTATGCTCCAGAGAGAAACACAATTATAACAAGTCTGGTTCTCAAATGTCTGATATAGGGTATGATCCAGGCAGAGAGTGTCCCAGTTCTCCACACTGAGAACCACTACACAACCAGAACTTTAAAAAAATCACAGTACTCCTCTTTTTTAAATAGCAAAAACTGCTTAGCTTTTTTCTGTATTCGAATGCTTTACTTTTTTTCTCTCATTTTAAATTTCTCAGCCATTTCACTGGCATCTCAGGCAGCTGCTTTTTCTCCATCTCAGAACAATCAATATATGAACATTTTTAAAAGCAAAAAAAAAAATCCAGTTGCAATTTTATTTTTCTGCTGGCATACATGTGCACAATCTTTTGAATTTACATGATGGTGATAACCAGCCGAAGTCAGCAAGCCTTTCTGAAAAAGCAGTTGATTCAATGATGACAGCTGTGCTGTCATTTCTTATTTAGGCCCAGCTGCCTAATAATAGCAAAGTAATATTATTAATAAATTACTGGCATAGCTAGTTAGAGAATGTAACCAATTACATATAGTTTTAAATTCACTACAGGCAAAACGCTCACTAGTTTTCTACGTATGATTCACAGTCCTGTCTTCAGTGGTACTGAACCACAGCCTTTGTAGACTAGTCATTAGTATTCAGGATAAGAAACAATTGCTTGGAACAGGAAACACAGAAGCCAGACATTTGGCAACACCACACAGCATTCACTGCTGAAGTCAACTGGCGAAGCGACTCTGGACTGACAGAAACTGGCCTCTGTTGCCATGGAAACAGCAGTGAACTGTGTTAGTAAACAGTTTGAGTTCTCTCACCTGCCAGGGCATAAATTCAAATTTTACTGCTGATTTTTAAGTCTACTATTTGTAAGTGACCTATTTAGGGAGTAAATACTGGAAATCACTCTTCGCTTCAGAAAAAAACATCCAAATCTTTGCAAAAACATCTGAGTCTTAAGGTACCCAAACACAATTAAATGTAATTGTGCAGAATACCTGACAAAAGCCAGTCTATCTATTCATTCTAATGACTGCCTATTTTGCCAAAAACTAGTTCCTGAAAGTACATAAATAAAATAAAAATAAAATGGTAAGGAAGTGGAGGTAATGCTAATCCCCAAGAAAAAGACTTTTACAAATTCACAGTGAGGATTCATGCCACTGTTTAATTTTATTTCAAGCCACATTTATTTTAAATTTCTCCCATCCTCACTCATAGCAAAATGAGCCAAGTAAGGCTGCCTCCTGTCCACTTTAGACTCAAACATCCCATTACCGGAATTCCTCTGTCTGGATAATTACAATCATTATTACCCCTAAATTACAAATGCACAAAGTATGACAGAAGAAAAATGTCTTGACTGCAGCAGTTCAGGAAAACAGCCATAGTGCGAGCCTCTAATTCTCAGCTCTCTTAATCCACATGTCTCCTAGGTCATTCTGGCTTCATTAAGCTTCTTCCTTCAACTCTTTTCAATTTCATGCTAAATTATATTTTTCCATAAAGTCTACAAGTGAAAACATCATTTTGTTTTTTGCTCTAAGTAACCAATTCCCCCTTATCAACAATTGCTAAAATATTCCCATTACCCTTTTCTGTGACTTCGACTTTCATTCATCAATAAACATTTACCAAGCAAACATTTATAAGTCATGTGCTATATGCTTGGCAAAGGAAGAAGTGATATAAAGATGAAAAAAAAAGTTTTCTGCTTTTAAAGATGTAGTCTAGTGGGAAAACTAGAAAGAAAGAAAGACAGACAGATAGATAGATAACAATTTGATAAACACAGTAGCGAAAGTAGACTAAAAGTACAATGGGAACACTGTGAAGAAAAAGCTAATTTTGCTTGGGGAAATAGAGAATGCCACACTGAGAAGGTGGTATTTTCACCACATCTCAAAGGGTAAATAGGAGTTTTATATGTGGTAGTTAGAAAAGGCATGTACTAAAAAATAATTTTCAAAAAGTTGAAAACATTGCTCTCATTCATATATAAAATGAACACGTGTCAAATATTTTATTTGACTTACAGAGATTTATAACCGCTACTGGACAAAATTCATTTGCATTAGTATGAACAGGAACCATTTGTATTGCTACAGATAAGAATCATCTGCACTGCTATCAGTTTTCTACAACTTAACTTCTACCACTACGAAATCATAGAATAGTCTAGTTGACAGAAAGTCGATCAACTCTGCACACACCTATGGAATCAACAGTCCCCACAGGATCTTCTAGATAGCACCCAGTGGTCTCTTTAGTCCATTTCCAAGTCTTGAACGGTTTATTCTGGCAGAAGAAATAGGCATTCCAGATTTTGGGGAAAGTACATTAAAAACAAAGAGATCTGGAAAAGTAAGTATTTGGAAATGACTAAAAATAAGGCAGTAGGAGGAAAGGAAAGTCAATAAAGTCACGGAAAGAAGTTAAGATTACATGGGAATGGGAATTTGGGGCCAAATTGTGAAAGATCTCACGTGCCATGCAAGAGTATAGACTGTCCAAAAACAGTGGGAAGCCACTGAAGAATTTTAAACCTTGAAGTGTCAAGTTAAAAGATGTTTTTTGTTTCTTCACCCTTAATGCTTAATCTATTCAAATCTGCATTTTCTACCATTGTGGCTTGTTTTGGAGTATTTCTTTTTTTTTTTTTTTTTTTTTTTGAGACGGAGTCCCGCTGTTTAGCCCAGGCCGGATTGCAGTGGCGCAATCTCGGCTCACTGCAAGCTCCACCTCCCAGGTTCACGCCATTCTCCTGCCTCAGCCTCCCGAGTAGCTGGGACTACAGGCGCCCGCCACCGCGCCCGGCTAATTTTTTGTATTTTTAGTAGAGACGGGGTTTCACCGTGTTAGCCAAGATGGTCTCGATCTCCTGACCTTGTGATCCGCCCGCCTCGGCCTCCCAAAGTGCTGGGATTACAGGCGTGAGCCACCGCGCCCAGCCGTATTTCTTAATTTAATATTAAATTTCTTCCTGTTTGTTTTCTAGACTGTAAAAACGTCTCCATTTTTAATATTTTTTTCACTTATTCAAAGCCCTTAATTCCTCTAGTCCTCTTAGTTATCTCATGATGTACTTAACATGTTGCTATTCTTTTTTCAAATATAAGTTACACACTTAACTCAGGAAAATCCAATGGCCCTAATTTTCACTCAAGGGCATATCTGAGAGACCACCTATTTTTTAGGGACAGTGTTGTCTGAATTAAAAATATATGGTACTTCAGTGGTAAAGGAATTGCAAATGAAATAATGTGTCATCACTTACACCCACCAGAGTGTTTAAAATTAAAATACTAGTAATACCAAAAACAAACAAACAAAAAATATATGGTACTTCTTGATTATTTAGTATTATGCACCTATATTATACTTGAAGGACATTAACATTTATTTTACTGAGCCTTTTTCCAAATATTTTTAAAAATTCTGACCTATTGTTGAAACACATTTTATTTATAATAATGTGATATATAATACATATAACTTGTGTTATATCCCTGTTAGTTTCATATTAGGAAAAGACTCCCATCCATAAATGCTAACCTAGTAAAGAGTCATGTAGATTCTGGGAAATTAAAGCAATTCTTACTGTTTTGTTTTAAGGTTATTCCTCTGAGAAAGCTTATGTTTCCATTATGTAAGATTTAGAATCATTTTCAATAACTAAATGATAGTCATGTACTAGAATTAAAACTATTAAGAATCTAAGAAAAGGTAATCCTGAAATATAGTGGTACGGCAGAAGAGATATTTCATTTTCCTAAGTTTTAATAACAACAAAATCAAGGCCGGGCACCGTGGTTTATGCCTGTAATCCCAGCACTTTGGGAGGCTAAGGTGGGGGAATCACCTGAGGTCAGGAGTTCAAGACCAGCATGGCCAACATGGCAAAACCCTGTCTCTACTAAAAATACAAAAATTAGCCAAGCATGGTGGCCAGTGCCTGTAATCCCAGCTACTTGGGAGGCTGAGGCAGGAGAATCACTTGAACCCGGGAGGCGGAGGTGTCAGTGAGCCGAGATCACACCACTACACTACAGCCTGGGCGACAAGAGGGAGACTCCATCTCCAAAAAAAAAAAAAAAAATCAAAACAGACAATCACTTTCTTTTTAAGACAAGCAGGAGTCTATTGTAATACACTTTTAATCAAGGAAATGGAATCAATTGTCATGCTTAATATTATCACAATTTAAAATAATACAACTGGCAAATAAAGAAATAGATAATTTGTTTGATATTATTGGGACTTCATTTTATATACACTAATACAGGAATTACCAAACTTTTTACCCAGATGCTCTTAAAAATAATTGAGGACCCAAAAGAGCTTCTATTTATGATCATTATATCTATCAGATTTACTGTATCAGAAATTAAGCTAAAAATGTTTAAATATTAATGTAAGTAGCCACAATAAACCCATTAAACGTTAGCAAAATTAATGTATGATTTTAAAAAACTATATGTTTTAAAATGTGTGAGAAGAGTGGCAGTGTTTTATATTTTTGCAAATCTATTTAATATCTTCCTTAATAGAGGATAGCTAGATTCTCATTCAATCTATTGTGATATCACATATCATGTGGCCTCTACTGTACATTCCAGAAAGGATGAGCATGAAAAAGGCAAATAGTATTTTTGCAGTATTATGAAAATACTTTTTGACTTGCACATTTCTTGCAAGTATCTCAGAGACTTCCAGGGGACCCCAAATCATACTTTGCAAACAACTGCACTAATGTGTTCACTCAAAACTACTTTGAATGAATGTGTCCATTAGCAAATCAGTTGCATCAGTTTAAGAATTCCAAAGATATTATTACATTAGTTTTAAAACAGTAATTACAGTGTAGTGTGCCCAGAAATATTATAGAAAACAAAATATACACTATAATACATTATAATTTTCTCCTTCAATATAACAAAATGAAAAATAAATTTCCTTAGAGGGAAAATCAAAGAAAAATGTGGCATATATTTGCTGTTCACTTGGGAAAATTTCAGCAATTAAAAACAGATTGAACTCTAACATTTTTCTGACATAGCCTTTGCCCATTAGATGAAAATCTTGCCATGAAGGCCACGAGTACTAATGTTGCAATAATAATTACTCTCCGTGTGCCCACATTTATATGTAGTCTTTGTGGAGGGAAATATCTCACTTTGAATTCTGGGTATTTTACATGGCTGAGATAAGCTTAGAGTCTATAATTCAAGCACGGGTCTAGTGACTTTCTAAATCTGGGCAGTCATTCAAATTGTAAACCAAGTAGCATAAGAAGAGCCAGATGAGTAAATGAAGCATAACTAGGGTGATATACTGGGGGAAAAAAGAAGCAAAACTCAAAATCTTCTTCTGACTCACAGTGGCATAAATTGAGATTCCAGTTCTCTGAGCTACATTTTCAGAAGAGGTCCTTTCTGGTCCATTACTTAGAAAATAAATATGTCTTTACATAGTCTACCTTGTAATAGAAGGACTCCATGGGCTCACATTGCACAGTTTCAGGTGAGTTTTTAATATGCTAAAGGCAGATCTTAGAGCCTTTCTGATTTTGTACCTGAGAGGTACTTAGAGTGATGAAAGCTCAATTCCATTCAACTGGCCTAATACTTTTTACAAGGAACTCATACATGTATGCATGAGTGTGGGAACTAGGGAGTTGAACCAGTGTTATAAAATGTGATGTTGATTATAACACAAGGAACTTTAAGGGAAGTGCAAAGGGCTATAGAAATGCATAAAGAAAAGAGAATGTTGTAAGTTAGAGAAAGGAGAAAGAGTTAGTGGTGTGAGACAGACATATGCAGGCAAATAAGATTTTAAAAGGTGGAAATGAGAACCAAGGTTATCCCAGGGGAAAGAAATAGCTTTAAAAGAATGCAAAGACCAAAAACAGAAACATATGACTCACATTCAGGAAACTGTGAAGAGTCTAGTTTGGTTGGGACATAGATTTGTTGGGCAAATAGGGGACATTAATAGGGAATAGTAGAGTGGTGGAATATTGTCAAGGTCCTTCATTTCCAGGGTGAAAAGTGTGTAGTTAATTCTAAGGCAAGAGGGAATCATTAAAGATTTTAGTAGTAGTCTCAGAGTCTTGCATCAGATGGATTTAGAGAAAACAGAGGTAGGACACCAGCACACAACTGTTGTCTAAGTCAAGGCAAGAAGCAATGAATGGGTCCTAAGCTATAGCTCTAGCTGCAGAATTATAGAGGCAAGAAACATTTTCCCAGACAAAACTATAAAGTGAACCAACAGGTGAATATAACAATTAACAGAGAAAGGCCTGTCGAAAATGACTCAGATTCTGACACTAGTCCATTAGGGAAATGATGATATCATTCGTACTAAAAGGGAAGTACAAAAAAAGAGAATTGATTTGGGAGAAAGAAAATGGTTATTGAACACATTAAATTTCAGAATAGAGGTTAAGTGAGCATTTGAAAATAGAGAGTAGGTGCTGAGACTCCTCTATTTGTGATCTTTATACATCTCTTAATACCTTAAGCTTCCAAAGGGGTGGGAGATAAGAAAGAGTTTCTTATCTAATTGAAAAAAGAGATTGATTTTTATCATTTCATTTTCTTGCAAAGAATGAAACATCTGGCATTATCCTATATTTCTGCTATAGCTTAAAATGAGTACAGTCTTCCTACAAGCTGCCACTTTTCTTTGCTGAATTGCTGTCTTGAAGATTAGACAGAGGAAAAAGAAAAGGGGAAAAAATAAACTTGTAAGAGGACATGATAATTGAATATCTCTATGCCTCTATTTTTAGATAAATTCCTGCAGGCCATCCCCACTTTTGCAAGTGAGAATGTGTTTCATGACATGATTTAGTTAAATTATAAATAGTCCATTTAGATGCATCTATCCAAGAATAATACCCACAAACTACTTACTGATGAATCGTCGGGCTTTTAGCTTAGTTTAGAATAGACTGGGGGAATGATGCATCTATTCTGCTGACCTAGAAGAAAGATTCCCAAAGCTACCTGGGATTTGAAAGAAAGCATACCATTTAAAAATAAATGACCATCTACCTTTTCTGCTAAATTTGTTAATATGAACTGGTATTCAATTGAAGTTATTAAAGCTAACTGTTCTGATATTTAAATTGTATTCAGTAAACTTCATTTCATTTCATAATACTAAAAATTCTCAATATGGTGATGAATGAGTTAACATATAAAAAGTCCTTAGAATAGCTCCTGGCACATAGTCAGGTGCTATTTAAATACTGCTATCATCATCATTATTATCACACTCATCAATAACATATACACATTTTATATCCTACAATCTTTACATTAAAATGGAAAAAAATAAATCATTTTAAATTCAAAGTCTTATGGGACAGTATTCTTTGCTGGCACTGATATCTTGCCCCTATTTTGGTTTTTTGTTATTTATTTGGTAACTTGCCTCCTTATTTAAAAGTTCTACTGCATAATATATAACTGAAATAAAAAGTAATTGAGGCTGTAAAGCAGTCCCACATTCCCCACTGATGCTGCTCAGCGTGAATATCTCTGCCTTTCCATCGCTGGGGCAGGCAAACCATGGTCAGATACACAGAACAGATGAACTCCGGCATGCAGATCTTCTTGACCTCTCTGTGCACAAGCATTGCATCAATATAATAGGTGAAGGAGGCATATGCTCAGGAACTAAAGACCAAGGGCTACATTGCCTTCAGCCACCTGCAGCCTACATTCAACAGTCTGCACGGTAATTGCATTAAGGAGATGCTTCCAGCAATACTGAAGTAACCAGAAAATCAACAACTGGGGCTTTTTCCATTTCTGGCTATAACCTAGAAATCGTTCGTGGTGGTCAAAAGTATGCCCCCAGAGCCAATTAGTCTCGATTCAATTCCAGCACTGCTACCAAGGTGTGTGATCTTGGGCAAGTTACTAACCTCTCTCTTCCTCAGTGACAATTTCACAAAACGGACATAATAAAGGGATATTCTCCATTGAACTGTTAAGAAGAATCAGAGTGAAGACATGGGAGGAAGTTAAAGCAGTGCCCGGCATGTAGCAAGTGCTTAATAAACGCAACCTAAGCTTGCAACAATATGTGCCAGGCCACATACAGGCCTAAAGATTAAGCACTACACCACTATCCTTTGAACTGTTTGAGCCTGTGAAAGGAAAATATCTCAGGCCCCAAAATCACTAAGGAAAATTCAAGCTGGAAACTGCTTAAGGCAAACCTGTCTCCCATTCTATTCAAAGTTATCCCTCTGCTCACTGAGATACATGCTTTATCTGATTGCCTCCTTTGGAAAGGCTAATCAGAAACTCAAAAGAATGCAACCACTTATTTCTCACCTATCTCTGACCTGGAAGCTCCCTCCCCCTTTTCTAGACTTCCTGCCCTTGCTTCAGGATGTCCCACCTTTCCAGATGGAACCAAAGTACTTCTTACATGTATTGATTCATGTCTCATGTCTCCCTAAAATGTATAAAACCAAGCCGTGCCCCGACCACCTTGGGCACATGTCAGGATTTCCTGAGGCTGTGTCACAGGCCCATCCTAAATCTTGGCAAAATAAACTTTCTAAATTAACTGAGACCTATCTCTGATTTTCTGGGTTCACAAGACATATGTTAGTAACATCATTCTAAGTGAATTTGCAATGCCCTCTATTTTGGCTTTTATTTGAAAATACAGAGAATATATTTATTGAATATGGGTCATCCATTTTTATACCAAGTAATATACGACTGAATGACTTGATGAAGTGTGAAGGTTTCTGATCAACGTGCATAGTACATTGGATTTACCACAAGTAACTTTCTTATAAGCAACATAAATATGATATTACTATTGTGAAAATACCAGTATAACATGTCAAGGGAAAAGTTGATTCTAAAATTTCTGGCAGCCTTGAAACCTATTGAAATGCTTTCACCTTCCTAAACTTGAGTCTTATTTTTAATATATAGTTCACTTCCTTGAGACACTATTTATGATGGCTTGCTCTCTGTTATTTTTTTCCTAATTTCTCACTGTGTGATTTAGTGGTTTTTTTCTTCTCAAGGAAGGTTCTTTATTCCTTTCCTGCTGTGGAATGTTTTTCATGATGGCAATTTTAATTATTTACTCCACATCTCCTACTGTGGCACAGGTCAGAACATTAGAACATTACTTTTAAGATGGGCTGTTATATAGGTTTCCTGTAAGAGTCCAAGATCAAAGTCAGACCCACAGATACACAATATTAAGACACCTGATCCCAAGCACTATATGATTACACAGTTTTAAGTTACACACACACACACACACACACACACACACACATACATGCACCCCAACAGAGTCAACCATGTGGGCTGTGCATATTTGTCCTGAAAAACAAACATCTAAGCTAATATGCAAACAAATGTAACACATATTGCTTGAATAGTATAAATGTATTAATATCAACAAAAAATGACTCAACATTAATAAGGAAGCTTAAAAGATAAAATACTAAGGAGGAGAAAGTTATAAACCACAAATCCTAGGCTCTCGTCTTATTATTCATTAGTTTTATAGATAATCCAAGGTAAATCTTTACCTCTTTTATGATTCTCAGTTTTTCCATCATGACTATATAAACTCTTTTAATGGCACTGATCTTACATTATAGGATACCTTTAGGATAGTTCTTGTTTGGAATTTGAGGACCTCTACCTTCAACACTGTCACAATGAAAAACAGATTTTATTATTTTGTGGAGAGCAAATGAGACTTTAAAGGACTGTAACTACATTTAACTACATTTTGTCAGCAAATGATGACAACTTCTAACTCTCCCTTTGCAGAAATAGTCTACATATCTAGTAGTTTCTACCCCAAGTATGATGGTAGAAATGGTGAGACTCTTTATTCCTAGGTGTGTTGCCTGCTTCTGGTTACAGACATTTGGTTATGTCAAAGGCAAGCCCTCTGTCACATGCCTCTCTAAAAAGAGAATCACACTGGTCCCAGGATCCAGAACACTTGGGACTACTGAAGAATTCCACTTTCAGGCAAAAGACAGGAAGTGTGAAGACACTGTCTGGGTGTTAAAATCACTGTATTTCATAAGAAACAAATAGAAAGATCAATCCCTCGATCAGACTCTATCTCTCGTTCTTCTACACCTTCTCTTTTATTATTTTATAAAAGAATCAAAATAGCCAATAGAAGGAAAGCATCTCAAAATGGGGCAGACTCATAAAAAACTATTATTTTGTATACATCCTTATCCTATCTGACCATGATTTCTTCTGGAATTAACAATGACAAAACTAATAAACTCACAAGTCAGTACTATGTGCATTCTGTACTAATAAATATATATGGACATAGAATTGGAAGTTTGAGACCATTGTCCAATCCAATTGAGGCATCCTTCCTTCATCCTGACACTGGTTATCCAGTTTAAATACTTCTAGTGACAAGCAGCTTGTGACCACATGAAACAATTTCTTCTATTTTTGGACAGAACTAATGGTTTTAAATGCTGCTCTTTATATTAAACTAACATGGACATCACTAGTAATTCTATTTAGTCATCACAGTACATGCTTTCTTGGACTCTATATACCATATTCTAATTTTTATTACGTGTGACTAGTTTTCACATATGAAAATACCCATAATGTCCTTCCAAGTGCTCCTTACTCACCGTATATATAAAGCAACTTATTGGAAATATTTCTGAAACTTGCCGGACTTCTGGTTGAAAGGTGAATAGCAAATGTATTACATTGTATCTGGAATACTGTCCGAAAATTAGAATTCAAACTCTTTCACAATAAATTTAAGGTTTTTCACATAGTCTAACTCACTACAATTCTCTCAGAGTTAATGATTTAGATGAAACAATGTAAATAGGGACTGCAGGATATTAAGTGATATCTAACAAAGATCATTTCCCAAATTCATGTTACAGTGGTTCCTGGTTTAGCTGGAATTCAGGGAACGACACTAGGAGTGTTTTGTAATCAGAAGAATCCAGCATCAGACAGTCCGACCAGACAGGAAATTGATTTGTCAGTCTTACACTTAAAAACTTAATAGTGGAGAAACAGTATTGGATTGTCTATGTTCAATTTCACAGCAATTTCCTGGCATTAGTGTAAGGAACACAAAGCTATGTGTACTTTTGGCGTTGATATTATTTAAGCTGGTATTCTAAGCTTATGAGCATAAATTCTTTATTGTTTTTCGCAAGTATATACATATTTGTATGCCCTTGTAGATACATATGTAGGCATATACATACATGTACATAAATATGTAGGCATATACATACATATGCATATATAAATACATGAATACATATATATACACACACATAGATAGATAGATAGATATACTTTTTACAATTGATTAATGGCAAAGATGCCACTGCAATGCAGTGAGGAATATGATGGTTCTGCATCCATTGAATCTGCATTTGAAAAACAAAATAATATAAACTCTAATCTTTCCTTTGACACCACACCTAATGGATCACAGACCCAAATGTAAATGCTTAAAAAGCATCTAGAAAATAAGTAAGAGGAATTATGTCCTTGAGATAGGCAAATATTTCTTCAAAAGAACACACATAAAAGCAATAACTATAAAAATAAAAGGTTGATATATTGAACCTTATTAAAATTGAAAATCTTTTGTGGTCAAAAGCCTCTGTTAAGAAAGTATAAAGACCAGACATGGAAAGATGTTGAAATCTACCTATTCAACAGAGGACTTACAAAGAGCTACAATATCAGGAAGAAAAAACAACTCAGTTTTTTAAAAGTGGGCAAGAGAGTAGAATAAGCACTTCACAAAGGAAGACATCCAAGTGGCCAAAAAGCAGATTAAAATATTCTCAACATTGTTTGTCATTAGGGAAATTCAGTTTAAAACCACAATAAGATATCTATACAACCAGAATAATAACTAACATTTCTAAAACTGACAATAATACCAAGTAGCAGCTGCAGCAACTGAACTCAGAAACATTTCTGGTAGGAATACAAATTGTCACAATAACTTTGGAACACTGTATAGCAGTATCTTCCAAACCTAAACATACAGGGATCCAATGATCTAGCACTTCCACCCCAGATGCATACACAAGTACATATGTTCACTGAAAGTCAAGTGCAAGAACGTTCAAAAGAGCCAAAACTAGAAGCAACACATATGTTTATCAACAGTAGAGATGATAAAATATATTTGGATATATTCACACAAGGAATCCTACAAGCAATGCAAAAGATCAGACTACAGCCACAAAAAAACAGCATGGATGGACTTTACAGACATAATGCTGAGTGAAAAGAAGAAACAAAAACAGTATTTACCATATAATGCCATTTATATCAAGTTCAGAACAGGCAAAACTAACTTAGAATGACAGAAGTCAGAAGAGCCATTGCCTTTGGAAGGTATTGACTGCAAGGAGGCCCAAAGGAGCCTTCCAGGCTCCTGGAAATATTCTAGATCTTGACCTGTTTGGTGGATACATAGGTTATATGGTTTGGCTTTGTGTCCCCACCCAAATCTCATCTTGAATTATACACCCATAATTCCCACACGTTGTGGGAGGAACCCGGTGGGAGATAATTGAACTATGGGGACAGTTTCCCCCATACTGTTCTCATGGTAGTGAATAAGTCTCACGTGATCTGATGGTTTTATTAGAGGTTTCTGCTTTTGCATCTTCCTCATTTTCTCTTATTGCTGCCATGTAAGAAGTGCCTTTCACCTCCCACCATG
The DNA here is from genome assembly GCF_000001405.40 of Homo sapiens. Classification (NCBI taxonomy): domain Eukaryota; kingdom Metazoa; phylum Chordata; class Mammalia; order Primates; family Hominidae; genus Homo; species Homo sapiens. Next base: position 86,314,510 of record NC_000004.12, read on the forward strand.
ATTCTGAGCCCTCCCCAGCCAGGTGGAGCTATAAGTCCAATTAAACCTCTTTTTCTTCCCAGTCGTGGGTATGTCTTTATCAGCAGCATGAAAATGGACCAACCCGATAGGTATATACATGTGCGAAAATTTATCACACTGTACATTTAAGATACATGACCTTACTGCATATAACTCAATAGAAATAGAAGTTGTTGTTGTTTTCTGATTACAAAGAGAATACATGCAAGGAAAATACTTAGATATACAACATAAAAAGTTACAAATCAACCATAATACCATCTAGAGTGATAAGGGAATATATTGATATGCATAACAAACTTAAGATCATATTACACACACAATCTTCTATTTCTTTCCTCTTAAAATGAAAGCTTTGTGCCATAAAATTTTCTAGGTTTTAATGTCTACAAAGTATTCCAACACATAGAATTATTTTTAACCTATCCCTTATTAATGAACATTTTAAATGTTTTTAATGTTTAAAATACTTTTAAAAAATTCTAATGCTTATAATTTTTGCTATTATACATTACAATAGATGAATATCCCTATATAGTCTTTGATGACACACATAAAATACATTTGAGAGGATGGAACTGGAGGTCATTATGTTATGTGAAATAAGGCACAGAAAGACAAACATCACATGTTCTTACTTATTTATGTGATCTAAAAATCAAAACAATTGAACTCATGGAGATAAGAGTAGAAGGATGGTTACCAGAGGGTGGGAAGATTAGTGGGGGATGCGGGGCATGGAGGGGGTGGTTAATGGTAATAGGTACAAAAAAATAGTTAGAAAAAATGCATAAGACCTAGCGTTTGAAAGCACAGCAGGCTGACTATAGTCAATAATAATTTAATTGTACATTTTAAAATAACTAAAAGAGTTATTGGATCATTTGTAACACAAATAAATGCTTGACTAGATGGATATCCCACTTTCCATGATGTGATTATTATGCATTACATGCCTGTATCAAAATATCTCATGTATCCCATAAACATATACACCTACTATGTACCTACAAAAAAATTAAAAAATTAAAAAATATTTAAATGCATTTCAGAAAGGAAAATACTAAACCCAACAATGTAAACATTTTCTAGAGTACTTATGATGTAGTATATTGTCAAATTAGCATCAAGAATATAGTACCATAATAGTTTTTGCCTGTTAATTTTATTTATGTGTATGTACAGGGTTGCTTTCTAATGCAAATAACCAAAATTATATAACCTTGGCAAAGTAATACATTTTTAATGCTGACACAGACATATCAAGCAAGAAAAATTAGGTATACAGAAGTCACTCAACTTCAAATGCAGATTATATTAACTTTTCTTCAAGTAGACTTATTGAAAAAGTCTTTAATACTTCTGAGATATATAGAAATACAAAATAAAGTATTACTTTCTTCCCCAAAGCAGTAAAAAGTTGTATACTTAAGACTCTTCTCTTCTGTGCAAGTAAATCTCTATACCTATTCTTAAATGACATTTGTCTATAAATTTTTTTTAAAGGACGTCACTGCTAGAGTGGTATCTTCATTAGAAATGCCTCTGTAACAAACACTGTTGCTACTCCCTAATGCTGATGTTACACTGAAATTTTCATTCCTCCAGAATCGATGCAAATCATATCAAACACTACACCATACAACAAAGAAAAAGAGATAGCAAATGGAAGTATATTAGCATAGCAAATCCTTAGCAATACATGACTTACTGCATGCACCAAAAATAATATTCACATCTGAAAAAATTTTGCAACGCATTAAACCCTAGCATTTATATATTTTTTTCTATTCTAAAGTAAAATTGACCAAACAACTTAAAACCAACTTTTTCTTAAGGAAAGAAGAGAGAGAGAATTGACATATAAACATAAATCTGAATTGGTCATATGACTAATAATATCTATGTACAAATTATCCTTTCCAGGGATATCTCACAGTAAATTCAACAAAATACAACTTCAATGTATGTCTCTGACTCCCTGTCACATATGCATATACATGCACACAGAAAAACACTATGAATTTAACATACAGGTGAATTTGCAATTATTTCTCATTGGTCGAAATAAGACATAAAAGCAAAGCATTTTGCTTTTATTAAGATGAACAATAATTTATAAGGTGATATGATTTTCATCCCAGGTAAGAAAATGGTCATTGACTAAGAAAGCAGTAGTGGCAGACAGAGATTGTTCCAGGGGCTGCAAATTCAAGTGCCCACAGGGACTACACAGGTATCGTAGATGCATGAGGAAGCTGAGCTGAATCCCGGCAACCTACAACACACAAGCCATCCTAACGGCATTAGCGGCAGCCAGTTGTTGTCGTAGTAGAAATGCCCACCTTATGCTTCAGATTTTATCATTTTTCATGAGAGGGATTTTTTAATGCTGGATTTTAAAAAGCTTCTAATTAATACTCAAAATTTTTTAACCATGTGCGAGCCTTACTAAACATGGATTTATCCCAAAGTAATTCAGTTTGCAGTCTCTATCTAGTCCATAAAGGAGAAATAATCTGCCCAAAATCACACAGTAGGGCACTGGCACATCCAAAAGAGGTTTGTCCTTCCAAGAGGCGTGCCCACCACTGCCACCCAGTATGCTGCATTCTCTGACAAAGTTGTATTCCAAAACCACGTTTTGTCACTTGTTCTCTGGGGCACCACTATGAATCTGGGCTATTACGCTTTTCCTTTTCTATTAGAGTCTCTCTCCTAGTCTCAATTATCAAAACTCCAATTAGATCAGCCTCCCATGCATCTGAGGTTCCTTCTCACGTTCGTACTTTCGTTCAGGCTCTTCTCCCTCCCTAGAAGATGCCCATTACTCTGCCCTCCTTAGTCCTGCCCACCTCTGAGGGCCAGACTTAAATACTGTATTTCTAGGAAGATTTCTTTGAAGCTCACAATGAAGTCTTCTTCTTTGAAATACTACTGCACTTCTAATCAGTACAGTGCCATATTATCTATTGATTATGCTTCCTGTTTTGTAGTATTTATATACCCAAATCTACTATAAATTCCTTTAGAGTTCAAACTCTGTCTTTTCCTTCTTTCACACCATCTACATTCTAACATATTACTAATTCTAACATATTAATTCTAACATATTAGTGAGCAGGTGCTAAATACTCAAGAAATAGTCTTGACTGGTTGACCTCATACCTCTTCCAGGCTACATAAGGATGCCATAAATAATCCTGGAAATTATTTGCTATACTATTTTAGCATCTCTATTAGTTTCTGAGAGCTGCCATAACAAAATGCTGCAAGCTTAGTGTGAAACAATGAACATTTATTCTCTCACAGTGCTGGAGGCTGTAAGTCAGAAATCAGGCTATCGGCAGGACCATGCTCTCTCTGAAGGCTCTAGAGGAGCCTCGTTTCTTGCTTCTTGCTTCTGGTGGTTGCCAGCAATCCTTGGAGTTCTCTGCCTTGTAGCTGGATCACTCCAGTCTCTGCCTCTGTCTTCCCATTGCCTTCTCCCAATGTGTCTGCGTCTCTGTGTCCACATTTCCCTCTTCTCATAAGGACACCAATTATATTGGATTTAGGGGCCCTCTCAAATCCAGTAGGACCTCATCTTAACCTGATTACATCTCCAAAGACCGTCTCTCCAAATAAAATTAAAATAACATCCATAGGTTTCTGGTGGACATAAATTTTGAGGGGACAGTATTCCATTTTATATAGCAGCTAACCTATTCAGGGTTGATTTTATGTAGAATTCAAAATAGCAGTAACCACTGGAGAATAAACAATATTCTCCAGTGAGTTTTCGTTGCCTACATATTTTAAAGGAGTATCATAATTTGGGGTATTTGGAGAAACCCACTCATAACAAAACTAAAAAAACTATTTTGAACTAGAGAAAGTTTCAAATTTTGAATTAGAGAAAGTTCAAAATTATAAAAAATTGGCTGATTTTAGGCTCTCTTGCCCCATGCGTTTTAAAGTATAGATTTAAACACTTCAGTAATCCATGGGAAGACCTATGAGAAAGCTAAATAATATAATAAGGAGAAATAATCTGCCCAAAGTCACACAGTGGAAAAAGAAGAAGAGATGACAGAAAGGCCTTGTCCCCCATTTCCTTGCATCATTTGAAGGGTTTCTCTGATCTTGTCTGACAGTTACTATGTTATCTATTACTGTGCCTATGGTAGCACTTACATAAATCAAGTAAATAGATCTAGCCTCTAGCCACCAGAAGTTTGCAATTTACAGACATTTACATAAATTAATAATTTATATTAGGCTGGCAGTATGACACATTGGAAAGATCCCTAAGTAATCATCACAGCCCTGCCATTACTAATTGTGGGACCTGAACAGGTTGCATAATCTCTCTCCATAGCACTTCTTCACTTGAAAATTAAAGTGGGACAGCCTAGATTATCTCTAAAGTCCCTTCCAACTCTAAGTAGAAAGGCGGAGTTTTCTATGTTTATTGAATCTATGTTTATTGAACCTCTGAGTTGGAGGGTATCTCAGAAGTTAAATAGCAGAAGGGACCAACACTCATTCTTCAGTTCAAAGTTTCAAAAGATTAAAATAGCATTTCAATACATCACTTCCACTGAAACAGGGTGGGTAAAACGTTGGTTGGAGAATGGAAAATCTATTGATAAAGGAAGAGACAAGTAAGGTGGACCTGGGAGGTGAGAACTAGGGAACACAAGAGAATATGGGAAGTAGGCAGGCAAATTAACTGAGAAGGGTAAAGGGAGAAGCCGTGCCGGGGCCAGAAGTGAAGAAGAACAGAACAGGAATTATAGAGAGAAACTGCTGAAAATTCATTTCAGAGTCCAAAGACTGAAAACATTCCTCACCTAGCAAGGATGGAGACATACATTTCTCCATTTCAGAAAATTCATGCAAAATAACTAGAATAAATACTCTTGAATAAGGGATGGAACTTTCTAAGTCATTCCATTGTAAAAATTTGAAGCAGTGCAATCACATGATATTATGAGAAAGTCAGCCCCTATTGGTGCCCTTAGCCACTTCCTTTCACTCATCTCTGATTTTTCAGCCTCAGCTGCAGTGGACAGTTCCAAACAAGCTCAGACATGACTTTTTTTGGCAGCAACCTGAATCCAGGAGGCACCATACCTTTCTTCTTTATGGCTGGGGCCTTCTCAACTCCAAGGAAACCTGCTCAGCCCTTGAACAAGCCCATTCTGAAGTACTAGAAGAGTTAATGTCCCCAGGGGCAATCTTCAATCAATGAGGGATGGCAGCTAATGCTCCCAAGTGCTTCTGCCTCAAGTCCTTGTAAAGACAACCCTGGGATACCTGATTTGCCTTCAGGAAGTCTTGATCAATCAAGCCCTACTGCCCAAGGCAGAAACCTCTTCCTCTATCTCTCTTTCTACTCTCTCCCTCACTCCTGTCCCTCTAAAGTGACTTCCAAAATATACCACTTACACCCAAGTCCTTCTCAGTCTCTGCTGCAGACTCAGATGTTTCAAAAAGTTGTCTCCTTAGAGAAAGCTCTTGAAAGTAATGAGAAGTAGTCAAACTTCAAGAGCAACGGTGGTATTGGGAGGCACGAAACCTGGAGTCTAGTTCTGTTACTAAGTGGCTGTATGACCTTAGACAAGTCAGCTAACTCATCCAATCTGTGGTTTTTCACATCCGTAAAATGTAGCTATCAGGCTAGATATCTTAGGTTTTTCCAGTTAACATGGTCTTTAATTTGAAAATATATCTCCCAATCTATAGTTCAGAAATTATGAGATCAAAGAGATAAGGTTCCACTGCACCTAGATTGTTGGGATGCAATTGCAACTACAGTGTATTATGATTCAAAACCTTAATGAGAGCCTGCAGTGATAGAACTTGATTCACAGTTTCAGCAGTGAGGCTTATTTCTATTCCAGGCTCTCAAATACTCTAATAACCAAATCAAATAGAATATCTACACTTTTTGTCAGAAAGAATGGTATCAATGACTTAGAACTTTGGATAATAAAGAATCTTGTAAATTTGTTTGAGTTCATTGTAGATTCTGGATATTAGCCCTTTGTCAGATGAGTAGGTTGCGAAAATTTTCTCCCATTTTGTAGGTTGCCTGTTCACTGTGATGGTAGTTTCTTTTGCTGTGCAGAAGCTCTTGAGTTTAATTAGATCCCATTTGTCAATTTTGGCTTTTGTTGCCATTGCTTTTGGTGTTTTAGACATGAAGCCTTGCACATGCCTATGTCCTGAATGGTAATGCCTAGGTGTTCTTCTAGGGTTTTTATGGTTTTCGGTCTAACGTTTAAGTCTTTAATCCATCTTGAATTAATTTTTGTATAAGCTGTAAGGAAGGGATCCAGTTTCAGCTTTCTACATATGGCAAATTTACAAGAAAAAAACAAACAACCCCATCAAAAAGTGGGTGAAGGACATGAACAGACACTTCTCAAAAGAAGACAATTATGCAGCCAAAAAACACATGAAAAAATGCTCACCATCACTGGTCATCAGAGAAATGCAAATCAAAACCATAATGAGATACCATCTCACACCAGTTAGAATGGCAATCATTAAAAAGTCAGGAAACAACAGGTGCTGGAGAGGATGTGGAGAAATAGGAACACTTTTACACTGTTGGTGGGACTGTAAACTAGTTCAACCATTGTGGAAGTCAGTGTGGCGATTCCTCAAGGATCTAGAACTAGAAATACCATTTGACCCAGCCATCCCATTACTGGGTATATACCCAAAGGACTATAAATCATGCTGCTATAAAGACACATGCACACATATGTTTATTGCGGCACTATTCACAATAGCAAAGACTTGGAACCAACCCAAATGTCCAACAATGATAAACTGGATTAAGAAAATGTGGCACATATACACCATGGAATACTATGCAGCCATAAAAAATGATGAGTTCATGTTCTTTGTAGGGACATGGATGAAATTGGAAATCATCATTCTCAGTAAACTATCGCAAGAACAAAAAAACAAACACCGCATATTCTCACTCAAAGGTGGGAATTGAGCAATGAGAACACATGGACACAGGAAGGGGAACATCACACTCTGGGGACTGTTGTGGGGTGGGGGGAGGGGGGAGGGATAGCTTTAGGAGATATACCTAATGCTAAATGACGAGTTAATGGGTGCAACACACCAGCATGGCACATGTATACATATGTAACTAACCTGCACATTGTGCACATGTACCCTAAAACTCAAAGTATAATTAAAAAAAAAAGAATCTATATGAGTGGTTCTACTAAATATCCTAAATAAATTGTAAACCTGTTTTGTAACCCCAAGACAGATATGTACTGCTCTCATTTGTAACATACCTCCTTTTAAATTTTTAAATTTTTTTTTTTTTAAACAGAGACAGGATATCAGTATGTTTTCCAGGCTGGTCTCACACTCTTGGCCTCAAGCAATCTTCTCTCCTCAGCCTCCCAAAGTGCTGGGGTTACAAGAATAAGCCGCCACACCCATCCTAGATCTCCTTTTTTAAATAGAAAAATTGAGTTCTGTAAAATATAATCAGATTAATTTTAAATGCCACTGTAATCAAATATTCATAATTCCATTAAATCATATGTCTTAATCCATGATAACTAAAATATAGCCCCAAATTAGTGCACATGTTTAAGCAGCACTGTAGCATGTTTTGTGTCATGAGAAACTATTTAAGGAACAGCTTCTGACAACATTGTTTACAAATCAGAAAAACAGCAGAAAAATTTGCATTTGTTTGTCCTTGGCATTTCTTTTCTGCATCAGCTTCTCACTTCACAGGAGACTATGTCTCTTACACATGAAGCATTTTAGAACACAATCTAGTCAGCTAGCATACATTCTGCAGAGATTCTATTTATAGAACTCAGAGAATAAAGCAGCAGAAAAAAAGGAGATGTGCAGTTACGAACGTCTAACATAAATTAATTGGTGAGGAGGAAGCAACCCAACCTGAACGATGCCTATAAAAAAGTCTAACATCCTTCTGCTCAAGTCTGACCTCTTTGAAGAACTCAAAAGAGAAGAAGCGACAGTACCTTGGAGGCACTCCTGTGGCCAAATTCAATTTCAATTCCACGTTTGTTTGTATGACTAAGTGCCCAGTTCTGAGACTCAGCAGCAATAGCAGAGGTTTACTGTTTGTTTCAGATGGTTTTTTATCAGGCAAGGATTATTTCTCATGCTACTACAGCATCTTATTACTGATAAGTAATAAGATGTAAACCCCATTCTCTTTCCTGGGGTTTTTAAAGCTAATAAATGTGGCTTATATGCTCATCGAAGTCATTCCATATTTGAAATATTTATGCCAGGAAATAGAAAAATGTTACTTTTCAGATATCAGGGAAGAAAATCATCCATTTTAAAAATTAGCATTAGCATTGCGAGCTTCACGCCTGTAATCCCAGGACTTTGGGAGGCCAAGGCGGGAGGATCACCTGAGGTCAGGAGTTCGAGGCCAACCTGGCCAACATAGTGAAACCCCATCTCTATTAAAAATACAAAAATTAACTGGGTGTGGTGGCATGCGCCTATAGTCCCAGCTACTCTGGGGCTGAGGCAGGAGAATCTCTTGAACCTGGGAGGCGAAGGTTGCAGTGAGCTGAGGTTGTTCCACTGTGCTCCAGCCTGGGTACCTGGGTGGCAGAGGGAGCCTCCGTCTCAAAGATAAATAAAAATTAGCATTTATCATCATACATGCTGGAAAGGAAGTGCTGGTAATGAAAGGTAAGCATTTTCTTTGCTCTCTTCCTTACAGTCCATTTGAAGCAAGATCTGTGTCATCTCGAAGTCTCTAAATGTGGTCACATTTTATTTCTATTGTTAATTCATGGCAGGTAAGGCAAGGCACAAATCTGACATCAATTAGAAGTGGTGTTTGCCAATCTGTGCCAGGCATTGAGCTAAGTGTTTTATGTAGGTAATCACATTTAAATCTCACCAAATCATGTTGAGCATCTTGAAGAACTAACCTGTCCAAGATCATATAAAAAGCAAGTTTCAGAATCAATGTTTAAACCGAGTCTATCAGATTCAAAATCATAATCACTCCTACAGCAGTCTATACAAAATCTAGAAATTCCAGAGATGACTGTAATTAGAAAAGAATTAAACTAAAGATACACAAAGTTCCCAGTCATAGTCTCTGAGGCTTTAGTGCCTGGAAAGAAGATCCAATATAATAATAGCATTATCAAAAATTATTTTGCTATTTTATTCAACAGTATACTACTTTTAGGCATATAACTCAAAAGTCGATTTCAGAATAATTAAGAGTTGAACCACTAAAGAAAATATACATTGAGAAAATTTGTGTAAAAATAATATTTTAATCTAAAGAGAAATAATCTACTTACAAGAAATTCAAGTGGGATGTCGCAGGACTATTTCTTTGCCATCATTAGAATGCAGGGTTAGACTAATAATTCTCTGGTACTAACCAAATCTAAATAGTATAATAAAACTGAAATAACTAAATCTAAATAGTATAATAAAACTGTACAGCTTCTCTTTGAGGTAGAAAGTTCCCAGCAAAGGTTTTAGAGAAGCAACATCAACATCAGAGTTTAAGAGAAGGGCATTTTATACATTATAAGAGCTAGTTTAGGTCGGGCGTACTGGCTCAAGTCTGTAATCCCAACATTTTGGGAGGCAATGGCAGGCAGATCACCTGCAGTCAGGAGTTCGAGACCAGCCTGACCAACATGGAGAAACCTCCTCTCTACTAAAATGAAAATACAAAATTAGCCAGGCATGGTGGTGCCTGCCTGTAATCCCAGCTACTCGGGAGGCTGAGGCAGGAGAATCATTTGAACCCAGGAGGCAGAGGTTGCTGTAAGCCAAGATCGTGCCATTGCACTCCAACCTAGGCAACAAGAGCAAGGGAAACTCCACCTCAAAAAAATAAAAAAAAAAAAGATCTGTAATCTGTTTTCAGGTCCCTTACACTACTTTTGATAGTTACTAGAAGGGGGTGTCCAATAAAAAAGGCAGCAGATAAGCAGAGGTATGATTAGAGCTGGGAAAATATTAATCGTATCATTCATTCAGTCTTATCTCTCCTTCCTCTCAGAAATTATTTTCTGTCATTTTGCTCACATAATAATCAGATAAATTATTACGTTAAAAAGAATATCTTCTATCTCTATAAACCTGAGAAACTCACATTATCCATAAAATCCATCGAATAAATTCTATCATAAAGAGCATTATTAATAAACTTGTTTCCCCCCGATTTCTTAGTCCTCTTTCCAGGAATTCTTCATTATGAATTCCTTGCCTCTACTTACAATCTAGGTGCAATCTAGGTACTTTCTAAAATACTATCTTTATACACACACATAGACACATATACACATAGACTATAAAACTCGCTCTTCATAGCAAAACTTGTCCATTTCAATATTTTTTTTAGTTTACAGTCTGAACAAGCTCTCAGACTTGAGCCATTGCACTTTGTGCATATTGACTTCTAAATTGCCTACTGTTTCAGACAAGGACTTTTACACAAAGGAAATAGAGATTTCAATTTAGTTTCTAATTTCCAACTCTCTCTCTGTTATAAATTTAATTAAATCTTCTTCTATACCTATGAGCTTCCAACTAAAGCTGCAACTTGTACTGGAAAATACTCATAAAAAAAATAAAGCACGCCACACCAATAATTAAGTAACCAGGATTTCATAGATCACAGAGGAAGAAATGAGTACAGTAATATAGGAACAATAATAATAAGAGTTAGTACTTACTGACTTTACTGGGTGCCCAGGCACTTTTACATGAAATAATTAATTCACAAAACAATCCTATAAGGAAGGTCACTACTATTATCTCCATTCAAAAGAAAAAGAAATTGAGGCACAGTAGCTTTTGAAAGTTATTCAACCAGTAATTAGTGGAGGCAATATTTAAACCCAGTTTAGCTCTAAAGCCAGCTTGCTTAACCACCATACTACACTGCCTCTGAAATTTCATTTATTGAATTAACATCATCAACAAATATGTTACTAAATACAGCCCTATTTATGAGTGTTAATTATAAAAATGCATGAGCTTAGACCTAAGAATTAATAGATTTCAAAAAGATATGACTGTATCTGAATTTTAAAATAAAAATGACATTAGAACATTCCTATTTTTGTTGCAGTTTCAATGTAAAGCAGCTCTTAAGTAAAAACAATTTGGAATAGAATATTGCCCCTTAATTCATGTCACCATAATTATTTCCTTAAACAATGCTAAAATGACTTATAATAGTAATACATATGTGTTAGTATCAAATAGGATAAATTATACACAAAGAAAATAATATTTAAACTTTTATAAAGCAAAAACTCTAAGCATAATTTAATCATTTGTCAACTAATTTATACTGAGCACTTACTGTGTTCATGCAGCATGTCAGAGGACCAGCAAGAAGAAAACAGCCTTACCCTTGAGAATTTCTCAGTCAAAGGGAAGTAGACATTTCAAAATTACAATAAATGTTAAGGGCTATAATAAAGATATGTTGTAGAGCTACTGGGACCAAGAAAATACAGCAATATTTTTGTTGGGTGTGGGAAACTCCAGGAAGACCTTCACAGAGGCAATGACATTGCAAAATGTATGTGCCTTACCCAGTCAGAGGCTGGAGTTAACAAGTAGAGAACATTCCAGTCAAAAGGAAACACATGAAAGAACATGGCTTGTTTGGGGAACAAGCAGGGTCTCGGGTTCACAGGGGCAGAAGATGAGGCTGGCAAGACTATGTGACTTGACTACTGTGCTTTAAAATGTCGGCTTTATGGAAGTACCTACTGGATGCATGTAAGCAAGGAAGAGATATGGTCTAATCTATTCTAGAAAATTTACTCTGATTTCAGTGTGTCTGATAAGTCACACTGTGGGGAGGACCAATAGGGAAGGAATTGCAATGGCTTCCCTGAGAGATGGTAAGGGTCTGAGCCAGGGCAGCAGTGGTGTAGAGGAGATTTAATGGTGAGATGGCTTGCCATAGCTTCTCTCAACTCCCCCTAAATGCTGAAAAAAGAATGTGTCTTACAGACTGCTGAGTAATAGTCCAAATTCCTTTTAAAGTAATATACCCCTGGAGTCATCTGTAGTCAGGTTACACTAGCTTTGTAAGATGAAATAGCTGAAAATCTACAAGTCCATATCTCTTTTCACTGTTGGGAAACAAATTAAGCTATAACAAATAACAACTAAAAGTCTAGCATTCAGTAGGGAGATAAAATTGCTAATGAAAAATGGAACACACAGTTTATGCTAACAATTGTATAAACATCCAGTGGTGCAGAAAATACACACAATTACTTGATTTTAAATCTACACTGTAAGTATTTAACAACCTTGTTCCTTGTTATATTACTTTCAGTGTTCTTAAATCAACTTTAAGAGCCTCTTTATATCTGTGCAGCAGGAATGCATGTAATATACAAGGACTGTAAGTCTTTTTATTTCATTTAGTAGGGAATCCATCTCGCTCTGTTGCCCAGACTGGAGTACAGTGATGTGATCATGGCTCACTGCAGCCTCGACCTCCTAGGCTCAAGCCATCCTCCCACATCAGCCTCCAGAGTAGCTGTGATTACAGGCATGTGCCATCACACCCAGCTAACTTTTTTTTTTTTTTTTGGATAGAGAGAGGACTCACTATGTTGCCCAGGCTGGTCTCAAACTCCTGGGCTCAAGATATCCCCCTACCTTACCCTCCCAAAGTGCCGGGATTATAGGCATGAGCCGCTGTGCCCAGCCTAAAGTCAAATATTTCATTAAATTTTACAAATCTTGGAGACTTTGAATATTCCAAGTGAAGTTTACCAAACAGGGATACCTTTAATTTTTTTTTAGCACAGATTATCTCACCCCCCAAAAAATTATCTCACTTTTATCTCATTTTTTAAAAAATATGAATTTTTTCTTCAGTCCGAGCCACCATGCCACAGTAAAATGTCTGTCTTGTACTAGCCAACACTTCCCCCAGAATTACTATCTTTTTTTTTTGCAAATGTTTAAACATTTATAAGTTTCATTCTTGTATTGAATACAGGTCTTTGAAGGGCAACATTATTTCAATATCCTACATAATGCTTATTTAATTAAGTAGTGTGCTACTACACATTTTAAATATTATTTCTGACTAGGCACGGTGGCTCACCCCTGTAATCTCAGCACTTTGGGAGGCCAAGGCGGGTAGATCACCTGAGGTCAGGAGTTTGAGACCAGCCTGGCCAACCCTGCGAAACCCCATCTCTACTAAAAATACAAAAAAAAAAAAAAAAAAGCTGGGCATGGTGGTGGGCACCTGTAATCCCAGCTAATTGGGAGGCAGAGGCAGAAGAATTGCTTGAACCCAGGAGGTGGAGGTTGCAGTGAGCCAAGATCACACCACTGCACTCCAGCTAGGCGACAGAGTGAGACTCTTGCTCAAAAATAGTAATAATAATAATATAAAACAAAAACTATTTCTTATAAAATCTTCCTATGGTTTGAATGCATTCTCCAAACTTCAGGTGTTGCCACTGTGATAGTATTAAAAGGTGGGTCCTTGAAGAAGTGAGTAGGTCATGAGGACTCTTTCCTCATGAAGGAGATTAAAGCCCTTATAAAACAGGCTTCCTTTAACAAATTTACAAGAAAGAAACAAACAACCCCATCAAAAAGTGGCAAAGGATATGAACAGACACTTCTCAAAAGGAGACATTTATGCAGCCAACAAACATGAAAAAAAGCTCTACATCACTGATCATTAGAGAAATGCAAATCAAAACTATAATGAAAATACCATCTCATGCCAGTCAGAATGCAGATTATTAAAAAGTCACGAAACAATAGATGCTGACAAGGCTGTGGAGAAACAGGAACGCTTTTACACTGTTCGTGGGAATGTAAATTAGTTCAACTATTGTGGAAGACACTGTGGCGATTCCTCAAGGATCTAGAACAAGAAATACCACGTGACCCAGCAATCTGATTACTGGGTATATACCCAAAGGAATATAAATCATTCTACTATAAAGACACATGCACATATATGTTTACTGCAGCACTATTTACAATAGTAAAGACTTGAAACAAACCCAAATGCCCATCAATGATAGACTGGACAAAGAAAATGTGGCACATATACACCGTAGAATACTATGCAGCCATAACAAAGGATGAGTTCATGTTCTTTGCAGGGACATGGTTGAAGCTAGAAACCATCATCCTCAGCAAACTAACACAGGAACAGAAAACCAAACACCGCATATTCTCACTCATAAGTGGGAGCTGAACAATGAGAATACATGGACACAGGGAGGGAAACATCACACACCGGGGCCTGTCAGGGGAGGGGAGCAAAGGGAGGGAGAGCATCAGGACAAATACTTAACGCACGAGGGGGCATCAAACCTAGATGATGGGTTAATAGCTGCAGCAAACCACCATGGCACATGTGTACCTATATAACAAACCTACATGTTCTGCACATGTATCCCGGGACTTAAAGTAAAATAAAAATAAAATAAAAAAGAGGCTTCCTATAGTATTCACCTAGCTTGCCCTTCTACCTTCTATGTGAGGACTCAGCAAGAAGGCCCTCACCAGACCTCAAATGCTGGTACCTTGTTCTTGGACCTCTCCACCTCCAGAACTGTGAAAAAATAAACTTCTGTGCTTTATAAATTATCTGGTCTGTGGTATTCTGTTATAGAAGCACAAAATAGACTAAGACAAACATCAATATTTATTTAAAGTGTACGAAATGTTGTAAACTCTATTGGTATGGTAACCTTCTCCACAAATGTGTTAAATATATTTAAGCACATCTCAGTCAGCTGATTAATTGGTTTTTAATTCACTGATCTCTTGGTTCTACCCTTTTTTATATTTTTATTATTATAGAGATTAAAACTACATTTAATCTAGAGACACTAAATTGTGCAGTTATATTACAATTTTATTTAAGGATGCAGCCATCATTGTATTGTAAGAAGTAAGATATGTGCAGCCTTTACTGTCTGCAGCTTTTTATTATGGGCAAGGGCAAGGTCTTGAGCTTGGTCCAAGCCAGCAGCAACGAGAGATCCCAGTTTGGGGCTTATGACAGTGTGACTTTTCTCTGCCTGTTCTTATCACCTTGTTCTCCACTGTGCCATCTGCCATATGCTTATGCAGAGATCCGGAGTCACAATTTGCCTTTCTTCCTTAGGCTTGCTGAATAACCTTATCCTCTAGTCTCCACCGATAACCTCATTTCTACCTTCCAAAAATGAAATCAATTAGTCAATATAGCACTTTTTGGGAAAACCCATCATATCTTAAGAATGTCTCTTATTATATTATTTTCAAATGCTAATTTGAAATTATACCTAATGTTATAAATATCACAAGCAATGAAGCCACTAATAGTTCAATCTTACTGGGATAAAGATGGGCAGAGGCATATATTCTCCAGACTTTTAATTTAGTAGAATTTTATGTCCCTAATTCAGGAAAGTTCAGTTTGGTGGGCCGGCAAAGAGAATACACAGGAATGTGCGGCTGTATATGAGTGTGTGTACACATGTGTCCGTATCCCTGAAAATGAGAATCTGCATGTGTGAGAAGTCACATAGAGGTGTATTGTGCTGTGTCCGTTCAGAATAATCAATGTCTTTCCATTGGAACTAATTTATACAGTGCTTGTTTTCAGTTTTTTTGTGTGTGTTTAAGTACAAATTCATAAATAGTTCAGAAGCCTGCTAGTTTTATGAACTTCTCAACCTAACAGGATTTACCAAGTGAATCAAAGCAGATGCAAGCAGCAGGCTTTCAACACAAATTTTATCTTTGTCATTAGGTTTCCCTCTCTGCTCTCTCACTCCTAAGGGAAGCCCTGGTACAGACTAAGATAAACTATATGGATGATATGGTTTGTCTGTGTCTTCACCCAAATCTCATCTCAAACTGTATTTCCCATAATCCCCACACGTCATGGGAGGGACCCAGTGGGAGGTAATTGAATCATGGGGGCGGTTACCCCCATGCTGCTGTTCTCATGATGGTGAGTGAGTTCTCAGGAGATCTGATGGTTTTATAAGGGGCTTTTCCCTCTTTGCTCAGCACTTCCCCTTCCTATCATCATGTGAAGGATGTGTTTGCTTCCCCTTCTGCCACGATTGAAATTTACTGAGGCCTCCTCAGCCATGTGGAACTGTGAGTCAATTAAACCTCTTTCCTTTATAAATTATCCAGCCTTGGGCAGTTCTTTATAGGACCGTGAGAACCGATTAATACAAGAGACCACTGCTGTTTTCATTACTATAGGTTAATTTGACATAGTCATAATGGGGAATTCGTGTTTTAAATTTATTTTTAAATTCTTAAGTTAATTAAAATATGTTCAACATACTTGTTGGCGTTCTTTCTGGATACAAAAAGATTGTGTGTAAATACTTTATCCTTTTCATCCTCATCTTAGAATTATAGCACAATAGCTAGCATGTAATAGATAATAAATATTTGTTGAATGAATAATGATTTGAAAAAAAATACCAGTGGGAAAACATAAATGTTGACAAGTAGTTCAAGACTGTTGGGATAAACTTAGCTAGAGTGCAGGTCATAACTACCCATCTTTATAAGGAAGCTGAAAAGGGAAGTATGAGGACAGGGAGAACAATGACTTTCTCTCTCAAGCTTGACTTAAACCACCAGGAAAGTTCTTAAAGCCAAAGCCTTTCTCAGACTCTCACCAAACCATAAGAGTCAGAAAAATGGTCGTTTTCAAAGGAGTAGAAAATTCTGTACAAAGTAAACAACAGCTGAAGCAGGAAAGGAACATACATTTTCTCACTTAGTGGCACGCAGGCAAAACAGAACATAGGACCAGCTTGGTTATTTTCTTTGAATACAGGAAATTTCTCAAACATGATATATAGCCATGTTCAAGTATGAGCATAATTACAGAGTTCCCTCTGTACCCTTTAATCAGCCTATAAACTCAACAGCAGAGTCTTGTCAGAATAGGCCCAAACTGGAAAAACCACATGTTTCTCTCTCTCAGAAAAGATACTAAGCTTAGGATGTGAGCAGCGCACCATGAGAGCACAAGGTGTTCCTTCTCTCTCAAAGTCAGTCCCAGAACTGAAAAGAAAAACGTTCTCAGTTGGCATCACTGCCCTGTTTTTCATCCAACAAAGAATATTCGCTATGAATTTTCTCAAGCAAAAAGTCACTGAATTCTTTTAACAGGGGCAGACTCAAGCACTTTTTATTAAGAGTAACAAATCAATCATGAAATGAACCTCATGAAATATGCTTTATAGGTAATGTGAACAAATGTACAATGTGACAAATGATTCAAGAAGTATAATTATCTACAAGGCCTGTTTAGAAGGAAAAAAAAAGCTGTACCAAATTGATGCTTTAGCTGCTTTTGCTTATACTTTGCTGTGTTTATAACTACATTTCATTTAATCATTAACTGTATCTTTCTGTCATTAATTCCCTTTACATTTTTAATGACTAAATGGGATTCTGGAGTGATTAGCAGATAATCTCACACTTTTTTGTAAAAATGTGCATTTAGCCATAATAGCAAAGCTCCATTTATGGTACACAATTTCTTTCAAATAATATGCAAATATACTGCAAATATTTCAACACACACAAACTAGAAGTACAAAAAAATTAAGATATTAAAACAATAAATTATATTTAAATGCATATTACATTTAAATAAGTTTAATAAAACTTTAAATAAACTTGTTTGAAATAACACTTTACCTTAAATGAAACTTTACATTTAAATGCATCATTTTATAAATCATTCTCCTTCATTGGGAAGTTATTTTTTTAATTATTCTAAAAAGTTTTAAAATCTCATCAAACACATGCTGTGGATTTAGGATTGGGAAGAAAAAAATGTGTAGAATCAACATGCTTTAACATTCAATGTAAAAGTGTTCTCAGTAATCTCAGCTCTCAGTAATAGAAAAAGGAAAGAATATCACCCATGAAATTACACCTAATTTTAGAGGATACGTTTCAGTCCACCTTCGTATGGAGGCACCACTTGTGGTTTGACACAGCACAGTTCCACTGTGACGTTTGTCACATTTTTCTGAGCCCTGCCTTCCCACAGAGAAATAGGCCATTTCATGCCGTAACCTTCCATAAAATCTTTCAGAAGAGCTTTTTAATAATTTGGAGGTTATAACAGAGATGGTGATCTAACCAACCTAGACAAAAGCCTACGGTCAAAATTAAACCTGATTGAAATTACAAGGAAAAGCCCTGGGTGAAAGCACTCCATTTATGGCTGGTTAAAATTCATAATGTATTTGTTCCCAAGGTTCTCAAGAGAGAAGTCACAAATCTGTTTGTTTCTGGCCATAGGTTTTGCATCCAAATTTAAGGCTGCTGACTAATAGGTAATGGTAGTCAACTAATCATTGTATGGCTGCGGAGTTTTGTTTGTTTGTTTTTGTTTATTTTTAGAGACAGGATCTTCAGGATCTTGCTATTTTACACAGGCTGCCCTCAAACTCCTGGGCACAAGGGATCCTTTTACTTCTGCCTTCCAAGTAGCTGAGACTACAGGCGCATGCCACTGCACCCAGCTGTAGAGATTTTTTTAAAAACCAACAAATTCAATAACATATAATCAAGTATTACTTTATAAATATGTTAGGCCATACCCGCTTCCTTCTAGAAAACGATTTCTAGAATAAGAGAAATGGGCCAGTCAATACTCTCAGATAATATAACAGGAGAGTTCTGATAGGCATCAAACCAATTTCATTCCTCTCATAAAGAACCCCTCTCTGCTCTGCCCCGAAATCAAATCCTTTCCATGCCTTTTTTCCCAGTCATGAGGAGTTGAGAATTCTCCTAGTCCTAGCTCCTCACCTTCCAGCCAAAGTTCTGGACAGCATCATCTACACTACACTACTCATCTCCCAGGAGGCCCTCAGCCTACTGCTGTCTGCCTTCTCAGGCTGTCATGACAGCAAGCATGTTCTTATAAATGGCAAATGTCACTAAACCTAAGGGGCAACTTTCAGCCTTAATCTTCCTTGACCTCTAAGCAGCAACAAGGCTGATAACTCCCTCTCTTCCCAGAGTTTCTGGACAGTGCACTCCCATGCTTTCCAGTAGAATATACAGAAAAAGCCCACAATCTCTGAAGCTAGGATGCCTGGTTTTAAATCAGCTCTACCATATACTGGTTGGTGACAGTCTCTAAGTTACTTAACCTTTCTGGGGCTCACATATTTTTCATCTGTAAAATCAGGGATCACAGTAGCACCAACCTCTCAAGAAGATTAAATTGATCTAATATATGTAAAAACACATAACACAGTGCCTGGCACATAGTAAGTGTCATATATGTTTTAACTTTTACCACTATTATTATTATTATTATCATTATGCTCCTTCTCTGGTCACTTCTTCTTTGTTGGTATTTGTCAAGGTTTGTTCCTAGAATCTCTCTTTGCCCCATTATCCTCCTATTTAGTGATGAGGACTCACCATAACCTCCAGCCCATGCCTATTTCTTGAACAATAAACATATGTATGCAACTGCCTGCTGGATATTTCAAATTCAACATGTCCACAGATGAATTCAACTTCTTCCTTCCAAGCCTGTTCCTCCTCAGTGTTCTCTTTCTCTAAAATTGCAACCACCTCCCACACAGGCATCCAAGCCAGAAAGCAAGAATCATGCCTGACTGTCATTCCCCTCATCTTCCAAATGCAAACGAGTCCTGCAGATTCTACCTACCTCCTTACTGTTTTTGAGAACATCCCCTCCTCTTCTAACTGTGTCAGTCTAGTCTAGGTCACCACTATGTCTCTCCTGGACCACCTTGTACCTTCACTGTCAGTCTTATCCTTCCCTAAACATTTTCCACATAGCAAAGAGAGCACTCTTCAAATGCTCAAATCTGCTTGTGTCTGTGACTCCACTTAAAAGTCTTCCATGTCATAACTAATATGGCCCACAGAGCTCTTCATAATGTAATTTGACCCTGCATACTTCTTAAGCCTCATTTATTATCCCTCTCCCTCTTACACAACTTTCATCTCTTCAAATCTCTGTCCCCACTGGACCTTCACATATGCTGTTTCCTCAGCCTGGAACTTTTTTCCACCTCACAAACCTCCCCACTTCATCTGACTATTCCTATCCAAACACGTTTCCTCAAGGAGACTTCCTCTGACACCCACAGTATATTCAGTACCCTATGCTCATTAAAAAAACAACAAAAAAAAAAACTAACTGCAGTCTCCTGAAAATATTGTTTTCTTATAATTTATTCAAATATTGAAGGTTAGCATGCAAATAAATAATTGGAAACTGTGATACCTACTATGAAAGAAAATGTCTGTTTCCCTCACCAGACTATAATCTCTTGAGGACAAGACCTTTTCTGAACTCAATGCCTAGAATAATAGTCTTTCACATGTATGTTATATATATATTTGTATGTAAATCTGTAGAAGAAGAGGAATATGATTAATGCCAACAGGAAAATACATAATGGAAAAGAAGGAGAAAGCATCATTGCCTATCAGAACTTACCTGTTATATTATCTGGGAGAATTGACTGTCAATACCCATCTCCACACACCAACCCTGCGCCTCTAATTTCATCTCCATAGCCTGAACGAAATGAAAGGTAATCTATCAAATAGCTGAGATAATCCCTGATACATGTTTTGAATTGGTCAAGAAATATTAACAATTTGTTGTACATGTTACATTGCAGTAGACATCAAACTCTATTCAAACTAAAAGACTGCAAAGGTTGTAGAAGCTAAAGGCAAATGCCATTATATGAAACAAGTATAAGACATTGGTATACAAACAATATGTGAAAAATAATTTTTTAAATTTAAAATCTGTCTGTAATGATTCTGCCTTAGAGTCCCAGGTAATAAAAGATAACCAGATAAGTTTGCTAAATAGAAATGGCGGACTAAAAATACGGTTTTTTAAATATTTTTGCTTTTCATCTTCTTGCTCTTCCTCTCTCACCCCCTTCTTCTTCTTCTCTTACTCCTTTCTTTCTCCCTCTTTCTCCCCATGCCCTGCCATAAATAATATAGTACTGTATTAGTTTTTTTTTTCACACTGCTATAAAGACATACCTGAGGCTGGGTAATTGATAAAGAAAAGAGGTTTAATGGACTTACAGTTCCACATGGCTGGGAGGCCTCAGGAAACTTACAATCATGGCAGAAGGTGAAGGGGAAACAAGGACTTTCACATGGCGGCAAGAGAGAGAAGTGTAAGCAGGGGAAATGCCAGATGCTTATAAAACAATCAGATTTTGTGAGAATTCACTCACTATCATGAGAACAGCATGGGGGAAACCGCCTCCATGAGCCAATCACCTCCCTCCCTTGACATGTGGGGATTACAGGTCCTTCCCTCCAGACGTGGAGATTACAATTGAGATGATACTTGGGTAGGGACACAGAGCCCAACTGTATCAACTACATTATTCATATAATGTCAGAGATGTCCCCCTGACTGGAGATTTGTCAAGGAAATCAAACTAGAATCAAAAGATTTTTTAATATAAAAAGAAAATTATAATTTGTATTAAAATCAAATAGTAAATGGATAAACAAGGAAATGTCTTGGGAAAACAACTAGAACATGAAATTACTCTATAAATTAATGTCAGATAATTGCTAAGGGCAGAATCAATTTTATGGAGGAGGGATAACACAAAAATGTTTTAAATTGTTTTAAGTTGGTGATGTGGGTATTTTGGGTAAGATAAACCATTATAACTAACTCCAGAACTTGGTCTTAGCTATTTGAGACCTGATCTTAAGCAGAATTACATGTTTTAACTTAAGCCTGACAACCCCACTTTTTCTTGTAAGTGATCCTTGAGAACTTATTTGGAGCTTCTATCAAGTAATTGGGGCTACCCACAGACTACCGAACAGAGGACAGTCTTATCCAGGAATTCCTTCCACTTTTATCAAGTAACAGTGTTGGAAGGGACAAACATGGAATCATCAAGAGAGGGAGAATACAAGCCTAGGACATCATATCAAACAAGGTCTTTGCTCAATGACATGCCAGGGAGGTCTTCCCTCATCCCTCTATCTGAAACTGAAACCCTCCACCACACTCTCTATTCCATATTTCTGCTCAACATTCTCCTCGACCATACCTACCATTTAACATAAAAAATATTTCATTTATTCATCCAGTTTGTTTTCTGTCTCCTTCCACCAAAATATAAGCTCCACGACATCAGGAATGACTCCTTTTTTTTTTTTTTTTTTTTTTTTGAGACGGAGTCTTGCACTGTCACCCAGGCTGGAGTGCAGTGGTGCGATCTCAGCTCGCTGCAAGCTCTGCCTCCCAGGTTCACACCATTCTCCTGCCTCAGCCTCCCAAGTAGCTGGGACTACAGGCGCCCGCCACCGCGCCTGCTAATTTTTTGTATTTTTAGTAGTGACGGGGTTTCACCATGTTAGCCAGGATGATCTCAATCTCCTGACCTCGTGATCCACCTGCCTCAGCCTCCCAAAGTGCTGGGATTACAGGCATGAGCCACCACGCCTGGCCAGGAATGATTTTTTAATCATATTCACTACTGTATTCCCACAGCTAGAACAGGACCTAGCACATAGTAGATACTCAATAAATATTTGTTGAATGAATAAATACAATAAAATCTATTCTTGGAATCAGTATGGTAACTGACAGTGCATTTCAGATTACCTTTACCTCTACATGGTTCAGTTTAATGTAGCTAGAAGTCTTGCCATAGATTAAATTTTAAAATGATTTTCTGCACTAATGATAAGAGGTTGGTGGTCACCTTGATCAATAAGGAAGTGCTAATCACATATGAGTCAATTCAGATTAACTCCCCAGAAATTACTCTATATCCACATTTATGTGAGTGGATGTCCAGAAGAAAGTATATAGTAAGTCTCTTTGTTTGGAGAATCGTAAAGGAGAAACTGCTTCACACCAAAAACAGAATGGGGAAATAGAAAGTTGTGAGAATTATGGGTCCTCAAAATGGTAGACATCTGCACCCACCATGATCAGATAATCCAGAGCAAGCTTGCAACCTAGGAGGAGGGACCATGGCAAATAGTCCTTGTATAAGTGCCTGGATCAAGAGCTGGAGTAGAGGACACAATTAATCTGCCATTGCCATTCCACATGCAGTAAAGAAAATGTTGCTTGCTAATTCCCTGGAGAACCCAAGAACAGATGTGCTGAGGCCAACTGAATATCACCCAGAATTCCCTACCTAGCACTCAAGGCTCCATTGATTTGCCCAGATAGATGTCAAATATCCAGTGCTATCAGACTGGTCATTTTTTCCTTATCAGATATGCTCTTACAATATACATTTGTCATTTTTCAGCTAATTGCTCAAATTCCAATTTCCTCCAATCCTATCCATCTACTTTCCTTAAGATATAATGGCAAGACATCTTCCTCTCGGCCTTCCTTGACTAAACTAATCTCAGATTTCCTGTGGAAATTATAAAAATAATATCTTAGATTTGCAGAGAAGTTGAGAATCTACAGAGCACATTCACAGTAGTGTCCCCCCACTTCCCCTCCCACACACACACCTTCTTTCTGTGTCCTAACCGAAAATCTCAGACTGCCTTGACCATTTCGTGACCCGGCCAGACGCAGGTTTTTCCCAGCAGGCTTGAACCCAAACTGGGGCTTTGAACATTCCTAAGTACTAATAAAGGCATCTAGGTCGTTGTCCAAAACACTAAAACTAACTGGCTCTAGCCCTGAGCTGAATTCCTGAAACCCTCATATGAACTCCCTACCCTTACCCGCTTCTGCAGACAAACCTACGTAGAACGCCCCTTTTGTCTTGTGTATCTCAAGGACTGCTGCAGCCCTCTGTAAGTTCCCCTAATAAGTGTTTTGGACAGATCACCCTGGTATTTGGGCTTCTTTCTTTGGAATCTCAACTGGCTCCATCTCAGGACAGTTTGGGGCATGCTCTTGTGGGGATTCCCATGCTCTGGGGGTGAGTCCAGCTTCAGATTCTGCATTCACATACTGACTTAGATAAATACACAGCAGTGTACTATTTTATAGACACATGTTTTTCTTGTACGTGCAAGCCCTATAGCCTTTCCACGGCTTGCTCTTCCCAGTCCTAGTAGGGTTCACCCAGGAGTACACATGTTAATGAAGAAATAAAATTAGTTTATTATACTGAAAAGTACTCCCAGGGCATTTGTCATGATAACAACTGAGTTTATTTTGTTATTTCAGTGATGAAAGTGCTTGGTAATGATCCAAAGCAAACCAATCTTTTTCAAAGTTTTTAGTGTTTAGTGTTAACAAAATTTAGTGCCTAGTGTTGACAAAATTCCCTACCTGACACAGTATTAAAACGTTTTACATTCAATTCTCTCAAAGACTCAGGTATGTGCTACATACCCATTTTGTAGATTAAAAAAAAAACCCAAGTCTTAAAAATGCTAACTAATTTGCCCATATAAGCAGATTGAGAATCTGAATCTGCTCTGTTTGACTTGAAAGCAGAAGCCCTTAGGAATCACACTCTGCAGTCAGGCACTATTCTATTACACACAGTGTATCGGCAGGGCTGCAGTACAACAAGAGGTCATCCCAAATATCACCAGGGACATTCAGGGTCTAAAGCAAATATGTACAACTTCCTGGGGCCTCAGGCAGAGTCATGCAGTGACTAAGGGAGGCATGCAGTGACTAAGGGAAGAAGAGGCTGAGGCTAAATAAGACTGGAAATATTCAAGTAAACCATGCTCCCACCTCATCCTCAAGATAAAACGAGCTTTTCTTGGGGAAAAAGGACTGAAGGCTTCATTTTCACACACACCACTGAGGTTTCAGGTGTTTAAGAGGTTGCCTTACCTTCTTTTCTTCTTTAGTGCTACCTACTAATCTTCATTTGAACCAGATTTATCTGACCGTATTAATAGATTCAGGGTTTGAAAAAGGTCAGGACACAGTGAGAGCCTCAGTCATTAGCCTAACAGTCTAATTTTCTTTTCCAAATATATTCAACTATTTCCTTTATTGTTGTAGAGCATAATGGATAAATGCACAGATTTTGTTTCACCATTCTCTCACTGTAGGACCTTGGAAATGTTGCTTAACTTCTCTGTGCCTCAATTTACTCATCTGTAAAGTAGGGATAACAATGGCACCTATCTCTTTGGAGATATTGTGAGGAATAAATGAGATAGTGTATATAACATACTTAAGATATTGCTGACCCAAAATAAGTTCTCCATAAGTATTTGCTATTATAATTATTATATAAGTCATGTGTCATAAGGATTATAAAAAATGATAGCTAATATTCAATGAGCAATTATGCTAAGTGCTTCCCATTTATTTCTCATATAAACCCTGGAAGGTAGATATTCTTACTGTACCAATTTACATGAAACAGAGGCTCAGAAATGTGAATCCACAAATTACCTAGGCAACAAATGATAGAGTTAGAACTAAAGCCTACCAATCTACTCCAGAATCAAGCTCTTAACTACTATATTATTTCAAGTAGGTAATGATACTTGCTAAAA
This sequence comes from Homo sapiens, assembly GCF_000001405.40. Classification (NCBI taxonomy): domain Eukaryota; kingdom Metazoa; phylum Chordata; class Mammalia; order Primates; family Hominidae; genus Homo; species Homo sapiens. Next base: position 86,340,091 of record NC_000004.12, read on the forward strand.
GATACTAAAGTTTTGCTCTGTGCCAGGCATAGTTCTAATAACTTTACAACTCTTTCCTCAATTAATTATCACAGCCACCTTATGGGATGGATGCTTTTATTGTTTTCAATATACAAAGGAGAAAACTGAGGGACCAGCATTAGATAACTTGGCCAAGATCACATATTGTATTAGTTCGTTTTCACTCTGCTATAAAGAACTACCAAAGACCAGATAATTTATGAAGAAAAGAGGTTTAATTGACTCACAGTTCATCAGGCTGCACAGAAGCATGGCTGGGAGGCCTCAGGAAACTTCCAGTCATGGCAGAAGGTGAAGGGGAAGCAAGTTCACCTTACCACGGCAACGCAGGAGAGAGAGGGCAAGGAGGGAAGTGCTACACTTTTAAACCATCAGATCTCATGGGAACTCACTCATTATCATAAGAACAGGATGCGGGAAATCCACCCCCATGATCTAATCATCTCCCACCATGTCCCTCCCCTGACACTTGGGGATTACAATTCATCATGAGATTTGGGTGGGGACACAGAGCCAAACCATATCACACATCTAGTATATGGTTAAGGTAAGTGTACCCCATACTAAAAAGTAAACAAAGCAGAGGTGCTAAATTTTCATCTCTGTGACCTAATACCAGATAGAGGATAACAATTTTCAAAAAGGAAACTCCCTTCTGCTATGTTCATCTAAACAGTTTCTAAGCCAGTGTGACTAAGAGAAAGACTCAATACTAGAATCATAAAAGAACTGATTAAATGCTAATATATTCTGTTTTGCCTTACTACTCAATCATTTTCCACCTCTACTAGCAGGCATTTTCAATAGTCATTTTTAATGTCCTATACAATTTGAATAGAATATAATTCTCTATTAGCAAATATGGATCAATTTTTCACATGAAGCAAGACCATTGATTTCATTTGGTTCATGACCCAAGGAAGTTATGGACAACACAGGGAGAGATGGTGGCTGAGTATTCATTCTATGTAACTATGACACAAAGGAGAATCTGCCAATGATATACTTAGCCAAAACCCGCAGGAATTTACAGTCATGACTTAACAATACTAATGGATAACAATTGATAAGGTGTGAAACAGGATCACACACTAGCCCAATATACTCTTGAAGTCTTTGTGCAAATTAGAAAGACGAGCTTTGGTTTGCTGAGCATAACACAAACTTGGCTGTAGCTTCTGCACTCTAGACCAAGGGCTTGGTGTATGTTCCAAACAGATCTCAATGAATCTGAGACAATATGGGAAGGTATTTTTAGAAGTCTTAAGAGACATGATCAATAGCAAAAACAGAAACATACTGATATAGATCTTGAGAAAAGAATAAATACATGAGTCCAAAAAGGAAAATGGCAAGCCAATTTTCTTTACAGGACAATTGTGTGGGAGGACGGCAATGTGTCATAGGAAATAATACTTGTCAATGGTTAGGACAAACTTTTTAGATCCCTTATATTTATATCAGAATTAAGTACTTGACTTGCTGGAGGAAAAGCACAAGAGGAATATATGAAAGAGCAATGAATAAAATTTAAGATTTTTGTGGATATTTTAGAATGTTACTCTAGGTAATAAAAAGGTCATGATCAATTATGTTATCACAAATTAACTACTAGAAGACAAATAATTAATTAACAAGAAATGGTAAAGGACCCCGATTAGGAAAAGAGAAGACATGATGACAATGGTAATAAAAATTGACCAAAAAAGAAAAAAAAAAAAAACACCGGCAGCTACTGAGCACCTAATGCTATGAGCTTTACCTTCATTACCTTCACAATAACCTTATGGGAAAGCACCATTATTAGTACCATTTTACAGATGAGGAAACTGAAGCGTAAGAGGTTACGTGACCTAACCAGGATCTCATGTAAAATAATAGAACTTGGATTTACACCCAGGCAGTTTAACTCTGGAGTTTACCTACTTGACCAACAGACTATACAGCCATGGGTTAAACTGAAGAAAACAGCCAAAATTGACAAGAACACTGATGCAGGTAACTAGACACATCAAATGTTGTCCCATCTCCATTTGCGTAGGGAAAAGTCAGAATAATGATGTCCCTGATAGCGATGGAATACGTGACCAGAATAGAGTGATAAAAATAATGAGATACAATGAAATTCAAATACTGTTAAAATGACTTCTCTACTAAGCAGGAAAATAGTTTACAATAAGGAAGACTTAGAATAAACAAAATGGAATGAACTTCCATGCCTGGCTTCATCTTGCCTTTTTGGAATTGACTGAGAACAAGTTTGCTGTGTAGGCGTTTCGTGGTAATCACTTTACTATTATTAACAATGACAATAGTTCCAGGCAGTATTTCATATTTACATAGCAGCCTTCAACATAGGAGCAAAAGAACCTGGCAAACATTCTCATTTTTATTATTGATGGCTTAGATTAATAAAGTGTCTTCCTGTCAGAGCTCATTAATCCTTACACAGACTCCTGTGACACAAAAAGGCAAGCAATCCATTTCTACATTTTACATATGGAGAAACCAAAGCTAAAGGACCTGTGCATAATTGCTTAGCAAGACTGTAGCTGAGCCTAGAATGAAATCATAAAGAACCCAGTGTTTTCCTGCCCTTGAGTGAAACTCTCTCATTTACAGCTTCTTACTCCAAATTATCTGAGACATTGGGGCCTTCTTTAACAATGAGACCCTCCTACTCAGATTTTTACTGCCTCTTGTTCAAGCTGGATTCCCTCTCTCTCCTTCCTTTTAACTGCTCATCCTGCCTCTCTTACCTCTCTTCTTCAAACCAACATTACTGCCAGAATCATTTTCTTAAACCAGTTTAGAAAAAAAGGAGAGGTTCTTCATCATCTATAGAAACAGACCCCAAATTCCTTCACAGATCATTCAGGGCCTCCCTCAGTCTGGCCCCAATCTATTTTCCTAGCCATGTCTCTGATGCCATGTCCCCTATGCATAAGCCACGCAAGCCTAAACTTCTGAACTCCAAACCCACTCTGCTCCTTGATCATTCTGTTCCCTCTTCCAGAAATTACCTTTCCAACTCCAGCACTATCAAAATATGTTCGCATTTCCACCCCAGTGCTGTCTTCCTCATGAAGACCTCCTGACCTACCATCTGTAAAGGACTGCTTCCTCCAGCTCCTCCATGTTTAGTCTTATTTGTAACACTCACCACATTCTACCTAGGACTACAGGGACTTATGAAAGTACATCCCTCTTGTTAGAACGTTCTGTCACTGAGATTCCCAGAGTCAGGTTCTATGTCAGATTTTGTGACAGGTAATGGGTGAAAATGAGAAACATCCCTGCTTTTGTGAGGCTTATAGTCTGGCAGCCTTCCTCATTTATGGTACCTTATCTAAATAGCAAAACACTATTTTCTCGATTTTTTCAAGGGTGTTACATAATAGTGCCATGCTAGATGCATAAAAGAGACATTTATTCATTACATACAACAGATACTTTTTAGGAGTGGTTCTCAAAGTATAGTTCACGGACCCCTGAGTGTCCCCAAGACCTTTTCATGTGGCCCCCAAATTAGTCAAAACTAATTCCAAATAATATGAAGACATGGTTCAACATTGTCACTCTCGTACTCTCACAGGTATATGGCAGTCTTCCAAAGGTGACTTGATGTATAGTATAACAAAAAATTGAAACAATAGGTAGATAGGAGAATTCAGCTGCCTTCTGTTAAAGCAGTCATTAACCAGATTGGCAAAAGTGTAAAACAATGCCACTTTGTCACTAAATTATTTTTATTTCTTAAAAGTAGTTTTCATAAAAAGATAACTATTTATGTTAACATGTAATGGGTTTACAATCATTGATTTTTAAATAAATTACATAAATATTTACAATTTTATATTTTAATTTATAAAATGGTAAATACCAGTGGCTACAACAAAAATTCTTTAGGTTTCTCATTACCTTTCAAGAATATAAAGGGATCATGAGACTAAAACATTTGAGAATTACTGCCTGAGGGCAGTGGGCTCATGTCTCTCTGCAGAACCTCATTTGAGAATGCCTGGGTAGAAGCTGAGTTTAGAGACAGGGTCTTGCTCTGTCACCCAGGCTGGAGTGCTTATCACAGTCACTGCAGCCTCAACCTCCAGGGCTCCAGGAATTCTATCCCCTCAGCTTCCCGAGTAGCTGGGACTATAGGCACATGTCACCACACTCTGCTAATTTTTTCGTAGAGTCAGTGTCTTGCTATATTGCCCAGGCTGGCCTCAAACTCCTGGGCTCAAGCGATCCTGCCTCAGCCTCCCAAAGAGCTGGGATTACAAGTGTGAGCCACTATGCCTGCTCTCAACTTCTATCAAAGAAACTATCCTACTGTGTGGGATTTATTCACAAGATTTTCTTCTTTCTCTCCCCACCTCCAAAGCCCCCTACTTTAATAGTGAGCTGCTTAGAAACAAAGTGAAATTTATCTTTGTTTCTGCAGCACCTGGTACAGAGTAAACAGTCAGTAAATATTCGTGGGAGGGAGGGAGGGAGGGAAGAAGTGAGGGAGTGAGGGAGGGAGGAAGGAAGGGAAGCAGGGAATATGAGGGGAGGGAGGAAGGAACTGTGTGATATTTAATCTTCCAAGACTCTACCACAGTAATCTGCCCATTGAAAATGTCTGTTAACTTCATGTAAATGTGTTTATGTTGATATCATACCTAAAGTGACCAAGGCACCAATAGTTTCACCTGATATGTTAGAAAATCCCAGTAGAGTTTAGAAATCATTATTTCTAAAGGCAAATTTTAAAAGATTTCTCTTATAAGTAAATTAATAAACAAATACTTGTGCACACTAGTCTTTCAATAGCAAAGGATAATTTTGGGATAAAGAATGATGCAAACCTGGAAAATTGATATAGTCAGTTTGGCTGGCTATGCATAAACTATCTTCCTTATGTTTAGCACATCTTTAATAATTAGAAGTGACTTCCTATAGCTAAAATATCTTATTTATTGATTCAGAGTAAATAAGAATGGGCAGAATTAAGCTGAAGACAACAAAACGGGGAAAGTTAAAGCAAAATTGTGCATTAGCAAGTCCCTCTCTAATAGCCTTCTGAGCCCCCTCTTCCCCTCGTAGCTGCTTTGCATCCTCATGGAGTCCTTCACTAGCCAAGGCTTCCCTCACCAAGGTACCCCACTTGGATGAGACCGCTTAGGTATCATCTCATTCTTTAATTCAATCTGTGTGCAACTTAATCCACATAATTTTTACAATTAAAGAAATTTAGACACCATCTATTACAATTCTCTCATATACAGTTGAAGCTCAGCTTTGTCTTATCTTGAAATTATTCTTTGCTGTTGAAGAACTGGTGTGCACAAATATTTGTTCATTGATTACTTATGAGAGAAATCTTTTAAAATTCACCTTTAGAAATCAGGATTTCTAAACTGTACTGAGATTTTCCAATATACTCGGTGAAACTATTGGTGTCTTAGTCACTTTAGAAATTAAGACTTGCCCAAGGGAATATTAATTCATGACATAGCTGGGATAAAAA